>NC_000002.12:50190352-50493382 GCF_000001405.40 Homo sapiens | reverse complement strand
CACCTGGAAGGCTTTTTTGCAGCAGTAATGTTTGAGGGATATTTGAAGGGTGAGCAAGAGCAACGAGGCATTTTTTTCTTTTTTCCACCTGGATGCCTGCTGGAATTTAGAGGGACTTATTCATAAAGGAGAACTTCTACATGAACTCTTCGCTCAGACATGGACAGCAGTATTTTCTTTGCATACTAATCATGTAGCACTGAGCTGCAGGAAAAATGAAAGTTGACCTGTTTTGGTCAATAGATTGTATTCTTAAAGAATTAAAGAAAACATCAGATTTACTCTCCATCCTGCTGAGAGTCATTGCAGCCATCTTTGGTGCTTCTCAAAAGAAGGTCAGCCAACTTTAGCTACTTGAGAATCATGTTGTGGTGTTTGCGAAGTTCATATTTCTGGATCCTATCTCAGACCAACCAAGGCAGTAATCATTTGAGAGAGATGCACAGAAAACAGGCATCTTTCTTTTTAAAGTGCATTGACTGATAGAGATGCCATTATTTCAGAGTCCTGAAATAATGCAAGATCTATGTTGAGGCCAAATTTAACTCACTTTTAAATTTTTGTATAAATCCTGGTTTTGCTTTTATTTCAGAATGTTACTGTTTTTTTGTTTGTTTTACCAGCCCTGGGCTGAAGTCACATTGTTGGCTGGTTAGGATTATTAGGAGAATTTTTTTTATCCTCCTTATGTTTTACCATACCTTAAAAAGACACTAGAGGGCAGCAGAAGGCCACAAAACATGCTGCATAGGACCCGGGAGTTGGGGAAACCTCAACCTGCTCCGTTTGCAAGGGGAAGTAGAATTTCTTTTGTTTTCAGACATCTAAAATTCCACAGTTGGCTTTTATAGTGATGCATTCTTTTGTCCGTGGCTCTGTTTCATTATAGGAACAGGACTTTAGTGTAGAACTTTGAAAACTGGGGCTCATGTATTTCATTCTCCACCTTGACTCCAATAGAAACGATCAGAAATGGGTAGGAATCTAATGATCTTTCTCTCAGAAGATAAATTCCATGCAGCTGGCCTTGTTCAGCTTATCTCTCATGACACCGCTCGATTCTCAGGGGGTTGTGTGTCTCTTCCTGCTGATACAGTTTTGCTTTCATCTTTATTTCCCAGCTGTTTGTGTTCTATTCCCTCTGGTTATTATGTACAAGCAGCAACATGCAATGAAAGGAGCAGCAGAAATTTGCTCTCTGGAATGATTTCCTAGCCTAGCTTTGTATTCATTTTAGGACTTCTGAGCCCTGCCTTCTTTAGAGAGATAAATGGTTGGTGCGATTCCTCCTTGTGTTCCTTCTCTTGTTCCTGTATTTGGCAAATTTGTATGTTAGGATGTGCATATATATGGGAGGGAGCTAATATTTATTAAGTGCCTACTAAATGCTAAATAGATTTAACTGAAGTTACTGTATTTAATCCTTGCAATTACCCAGGGATTTAAATTGAGGTCAGTCTTGCTCATTTATTAATCTAGTTGAGGGAAAAAATAGGGAGGAAGAATTGCTTTTGGCCCCCACCTTCAATGAGTACCCTTCTTTAAAGCATTAGCTAAGTTTATCCTTCAGCAAATTGAGGATATATATAGTTTACTTGATAGGGGGAAAATTAAAGATTCCTAGCTGTGTAGCATAGAGTGCCCTCAGGTGGCCACCTAGCAAAACTACATAAAACTGAGTACAGTGATTTATTTATGGGCCACATCTAGGTCAGCCCAGGCAGTACTTTGTCCTTTCTTCCTCCTCTGTTCTCCCTCTCAAACCCAAAACTCCTTCAAGGATTTTGAGCTCTGGCATTGTCTTCATTGTCTTCTGATCTTGCCCCTTTTCCTTCTTACCAGGATCATCACCCATTTATCTCCTCCTCAACCTTCCTAGTATTCCTCCTTAAATCTCACCCTGAAGGCAACTGCCTGCTATTGTTCATCCTGCTACGAAGCCACTTAAATGTCCCTAATCAGAAACAACTCAACAGGGACTTTCTTTTCAAATATACTCAACCTCTAAGCAAAGTTTGAAGATAAATAGTATTCTTGCTCTTTTCTTCTTGATCTCTGACCAGTTGCTATTACTCAGCTCCCTGCCCTCTCCAATCCTGAATATAACACATATCCCCTCCATTTTATACCTTTTCATGTTGCTACTTGACAAATCTTTACTGCTGTCATTCAGTAAACCAGATTCTATTCAAAGTCATAATCACATTTAAACATGCCCAGGCTTTGTACATTCAGCCCACAGGACATCTGACAGCCCACTTGTCTTGCCCAGATACTTTGTTTAAATAGAAAATATTCAGGGAAGAGTGATGTTGAGCTTAACGTTAGAGCAGGATATGGCACCGGAAGTGGAGGGAAGGTCCTGCTGTCCTGTGGTTAGGCCATCTTTATTAGTTTCTTGTTGTTGCTGTTTGAGGTTACTTTTTTTTTTAGTCTATATAAGGGAAAGAGATTTATTAACACTATTTCCATTTGTAGATTATTTTAAGGATCCAGTAGGAAGTAAGACAGACAAGAAACCCTTTCAGCTGTTGAGCAATGAGGCCTCACAGAGTATAAGAACTTTGTTCTTGGAGTCATACTGGGATCTCAAGAGCCATCCTCTTGGTTTTTCCCTCGGATACACATGTTCACTGCTCCCTAATCCATTGCCCCACCGTGACAGCAGTGCAGCCACCCTCGCTCTATTCTGTCTGCTGGCACTGCTGTGAGATGGCTCCTCTCTGCCTGCTGGCTTCTTCCAATCTTGGCTTCTTCTGTCTCGTGGCTTACACCTATGGCTTTTATTCCTGTGTATGTTTCCACTTCTGTCCATTCACTGCTTCATCTCACTTTCCAATTCCCCCCAGTACAGGGTTTAATACAGTGTGTGGACCTGGGTCTAGGCTATAACTTCATAAGCTTTTCCCCTGCTGCTACTGGCTAGGCTCACTTCTTTAGTCCAATTACACAATTACACAGAGGTAGCTTTTTGAACTTGAAAGGGAAGAGAAGGAGACTATGGGTTGGAAGGCCGTCTGTAACCCCTGACAAAAGAGCAGGGTAATTTTCTCATTTTGAAGGGCCCTGAACGCCATGCCAGAAGATGGGAAAGGTGAAATTAAAGGGTTTTGAGAAGCAGAGGAGAGTTCACAATGCTCATTAGAATTATTCCTTTGGCTTCAATGGGATGGATGAGCCGAGGTTCAGGGAAAAGACACCACTTTTGAGGCAATTGCCATGGTACAGAACAAAGACAATAAGTTTCTGAGTATGTAGAAATAAGACTTGATATATTGTTACTCCTTTCCTTACACAAGAATTTTAGAGCAGTTACTTGAAAGACAGACAGAGATGTGAAACTGTTTCTCTTCTGCCACATCCATTGAATCCCCGGGTTTTGCAGAATTTGTCTCAATCTGTTCTCCGTACTGTAAAGCCTTTGTCAGTGTGTTTTAATCCTACCTTAAGGAGGCGGGAAGTTGAGAGTGGGATTAAAACATTCCCTTCCCATGCAGTTATCTGGGACCTGCTATCCAACATTTGGTTTGGGAGTTCTTCCCTCTGCTTCCCTGTGGTTCTTGGCCCAGCTCACAGTATTTCAGCAGAGTGTAAATTCTTTATTCTCTACTAAAAGCATTTTTTAAAAATTCCTTCACCCATTTTACTTGTTTCTGAATTTTTCTGACATTAACCATGGGTTGTCTATATTTAGTTTTATCAACTCCCTCCAACTATATTATTTGAAATCTCTCTTCCCACCATTAGAATCACGTGAACTTAGGAAGTATAAGTGATCTTGGGGATTGTCTGGTGTGACCAATTCCTTTTACAGATGAGAGAAATCTGCTCAGGGGAGGTTGACCTGCACAGCTATCCCAGTTTCACATTTCTTTACCATAGCTCAGAAGATAGAAGTTGCGTTGCTCATATCAATCTCAATTGACTGCTAGTGACAACCTGCAGCAACACACTGAAAAGAAATCTGCACCTTTGTGTGGATTCATTGGTGAAGATTATTGGTGTGTTCAGTCACAGGCCCAAGATGGAGATTGGTAGCGAGAGTGCCACCTATTGACTCTGCTTTTGGTGAAACTTTAAAGATCCCAACCCATCCCATTTGCAGATGCATAAAGCCCTGGGGCTGGTTTCTTCTCACCCAGCACACTAGCTGAACTCTGACAGCCACAGGCCTTGGCTTCCATGCTTGGAACAGCCACAAGGAGGTTGTGCACAGGGAGAAATAGCTTTCTTCAGCTTTTCCACGCCAAGTGTGGGCTACTGGAAAGTTCAATCCTATGCCCAGATGCCTTTCATGATAAGCTGACAGTTTACCACGTCCCAGCAGGATGGTGATTAGATGGCTTGAGCTCTTCAAGGTGGTGACATTTGTGCCTTGGAGCAGCAAGTACCTGCAGGTGCTCAGAGCTGAGTTCTCAAAGGTCAGGTGACTGCTCACAAGACCTCATCGTCATCCAGAGATGAGCCTTTGGTGCAGGTCCCTCTTTAGGGAATGCCAGGAGTGGTGATGCGTTGTCTTCTTAGAATTCGAGCTTCTTGTTCAAGAGCTGTCTTTGTCAGCCATCTGAGAAGGCAGATATCTGACAATATCTCTCTCATTCAAGTAAGATTTAAATCTTCAGGGTTTTCCTAGCTCTCAGACCTCCCTCCTTTTGCTGAAGGGAGACTTATACAGAAGTCTTTGGAGTACAGTAGCATAAAACCATTCAGACTGACAAGTGATGTGGAAAGGGACAGGGAGACAGGATGTAGCATTACAGGAACCCACGGACAAGAACAGAGAAAGATCAATGCTGGGCTCCATAAAAGGCGTACTCAGGAAAGCTCTTAGCAATAAGCCAGTGTTGCAGCCTCACTTGGTCTCTACTGGGGCTGTGAGCTGCCTCCCAAAAGCTGCCCAAGGATCATTCCCTTGTTCCTCTCCTGCTCTGCACACTAGTTTTCTCTGCTTTCACAAGCATTGGTAAACTTGGCCTTCTCAGACCTGGCTTTTCACCCCTGATCAACTCAAACACCCAAGAAAGACTCGTTTAAGTTTAGCAGTTCTAGTGCCAAATTCTTGGAAGAGTACATTTGATCAAGACAGATGTCCTCCCTGTGCCAGGTTGAGGGAATAAGAGACAGAGTCACATTATACAAATATGAGTTTACTGGATTTGTTTAAAGAAATATGGGGATAGGCTACTTGGGTTATAAATGAAGATATCAAAGGCTCAAAAAGTGTGATTTTTAACCTGCTATGCAAGAATTCAGGGACAGGGTTTGCCTTGCTCTGGAGTAGGGGGTGAGGATAGGGCCTAAATTCTTCAAGGTGATAGAATACTAGGTGCTAGGTGATACCCAAATGTTTAGATGATGAAACTCATAAGTGCTTGAGTGAGCAGCATTTGTTTTTGGGTGGAGACAGAGACTTTGTTTATACATAGGGAGTACATGAGGTAGCAAAGCCAAGCAATAGTCAGAGGTTCCCAGGAATTCACAGGAAATGCCAGAAGAAGGAGGACCTTAGATTTTTACCTTCTGTGCAGATGCGAGGGTCCTAACCAGACTCATCTAGATCTGTAATGGACAAAGGGGCCCAGGCTGACATCTGGGCAATGTTACAGTTGTTTACTATATTCCCAAAAGGGAATGTCACTATCATTTTCAGGCAATTGTCTCATCTAGTTGGATTTCAGTAATAACACAGTCCCCGCCAGAAGAAAGCCAGCTTCCATCCCGGGTACTGTACAATTCCTCTTGAGCCATGGGTCAACATGGAAATAGACTTGAAAGTTGGGTGGGCTTAAAACAAAGTTGCTGCTCCCACGGTAGAAATGCTCAAAAGCTAAATCTGCCATCTTTATCCACACAGGAAAGTGCATTTTTAATGACATAGCACTGTTGTGGCTCTTTATTTTCATGCACTAGAGGGTACTTCCAGTGCTCCTTAGGAACCACATTAGGTCAATCAGCGTCCCCCATTGACATCACATGAATGTGGTTTTCTGTGTCCATTCTTAAAAGTGGCCCCTTTTTGGCCTTTGCAATTAATTATTTTGGTTGTTCGTAAGGACAATACAAGAAGCATATAGCATTATAATTAATAATACAGTCTTTGACGTCAGAAAGACCTGGGTGAAATAGCATCTCTGCCATTTCTTTTGTGTATTTCCTTAGGCAGGGTATATCACTATCACCATCATCATCACCATCATCCTCATCTACCTTTACTAGGCATTAGGTAAGACAGCTACATATATTTTCTCTTTAATTTTTGTGACAAACTGATGAAGTTGCTGTTCTTATCACCATGTAACAGGTGATGAAACTAACATGAGGCTTGGGGAGGTTAAGCATCTCACCAGAACAATAATGATAGTAATACTAAATAGAAATTATTGTAACCATTTCTAAGGGTTCGTCGTATCTCATGTACTGTTATAAAGATTTGCACATGGTATCTCATCTCAATTAATTCCCAGAACAATACACAAGGTTTGCCAGTGTATTCTTTGATGCTCAAGGGTTCATAAAAAGGACTAGGAGGGCTCATAAGGCTCATTTGGATCTGACAGGTGTTGGCAATATTTAGGCCAATTTCCCATAACTACCCTAGTACAAGCAGAGCCCATTTGCCATCTCAAGTTTATTAGAGGTTGACTAGTATGATGTTAGTTATCAATATTCCTAACCTGTCTGTGGGAAGTTCTCTCCTCCCTCTCCCCTCCTCATGCCCCACTCACACTCCCCTACCCACAATACACAGACTCCTTAGGCCTCTCACCACTGGCTTCCCCTTAGAGTTCTGGGACTGTAAAAAGAATTCAAACACTATAAGGGCCTGTACTAGTGTACCATTCTTTCTCTAACACAACAGCCCTTTGACAGTTAAAAATTTAACATGTGTAGTTCCCGATATTTTTTGTGAAACCCAATGAACTCAGTTTCCCAAAATGATATCCAAAATGACATTAAATGTCTTTTGGCTGCGACATGTGTGAATCATGCACATCAATAGAGTGGTATTGTAGAAAACTGAGTGTTTTCGTGAGAAAAACTATCTTATGGCTTGGGTCTGTCTGTATTCTCTGTTCAAAGATATAATAAATTACCTTCGTTATTGTCACCATCATCCTCGTTATTATCAATTATGTCATTTATGCATGCCTATATGTCATGCATCATGTTAAGGGCTTATGTGTGAAAGCATTACATTAAATAAGTATGATGTCCTAATGTGGTCAAGCTATAATATCATTTTTTGGTTTTACCGCAACCGATCACTTTAAAATGTATTGTGTTAAGGTTTTGTACCACGTACTGATTTAGAGTAAATGTTTGGGTTCACTGTTAAGGTAATTATATAATAATTTTATATTATAAAACATAACATTCATTAAAATTACAAACCACCAATCTGAGTTACTAATCAAAGCTCAGAATTGAGGCTGCCCTCTGCTTTGGTCAGTCACTGGCAGTAGGGCAAAGGGCAAGTTCGGCTACTGCCTTTTCCTGCAATTATCTTTCGACAGCTTTTTGACAAGGCACATCAACTGATGTTGGGACTCTTGGTCTGGCAGATCCCTCGAATTCCTCCTCTCCTGGTGCATTCTTGGGTTCATCCAAGGCTTTTCTGCTAGAACTTCCAACCTTAATCCCTGTGTAGGGGGATGCTTCTGCTCCCTCCTCACAGACTCTTACCACATGGGCTGACCTGTCTCTAGGCAGTCCTGCCCAGCTTGCTGTCATGCACTTGGGGCCTATCTCGGCCCACGAGGAGTTTCCATGGATCCTTTGTCCCCTCAACCTTGGAAGTGTACCCCATTCCCAATGCTCTCATTTCCGTTCCATTCCATCTTGACCTCTTTAAAGTTTTCTCAGCGTGTCGGGTGCCAGTTCTGCATCCTCCAGTGGTCGGGAACGCAAAGCAAGCACTCCAGGAGACCCTCCTCTGAGAGCTGCCTTGCTAGGCTTGGAGCTAGAATGTAGGAGCACAAACTCACTGCATAGTACGAGCTACTTCAAAAAATATTCTCAGACACCTTTCCTTCCCATTTCTGATCCATTTTATTTTTATTATTTCCTTAATGTAGCTGAGGGGTTCAAGGGCCTTAGAACCAGTATTTCACCTGTTCCTTGATAAATTTTGAATCTGGATGTCTGTCTCATTCTCACATTGTCTGATATTGACTGTGTTGGCACTTCAGTCAGAAATTCAATTTTAGTATTTATTTTACACATACGGTCTCTGAATCCTCACAACAATTAGATCAGTGAATTATTAGTGCCCCCATTTTACAGATGAGATAATGGAGACTTGGAAGGCTTAAGTGAGTTATTCATTTGTCACGTAGCACAAAGCAATAGAAACAGAATTTGAACCCAGGTCTACGGCAGTATTTAAATACTGCCATCTGTATTTGCCAAAATATTTGAAAGGATTACTTCTGAATGTCTACAGTGAAAAGCTAACATTTATTTTAATCTTGGGGGGAAATATCATAAAATAAAACACTTTCTATTCCATAAAAAATCTTAATCAAGCTTCTACTTTTCTACTACATTGTATAACATTGAAAATTCCACTTCTGGTAGTTGCAAAGGAACTGGATATTTCCACTTTACTTTCTATATGCTCTTCTCTCCCCAATGCCTTGCATAGCATCTATATATTGGTTCTGTCTTCTTAGCCCCTGAAGTTCTCCTCAAACAATACAGCTAACAACTTTAATTGCTGTGTGTCCTTTATATATATTCTGCAGAACATTTGCATTTATAGGTATGTAGAATAGGCTCTGGAAAATCTAGTACTTGGTTGGGTGATTGGGGGTTGGCCTATCAATCAGTCATCGGCTGGTGCAAACTGGCTACTTGCAGGCTCATTCAGCTCTCAAAGCCCTTAATTTCCTTAGCCTTTAGGAAAAGTTCCTAACACTTCCCTGACCTGGAGGAGGGATCCCTGCTTTTAAGTATCTCCATTTCTCCTTAAGAATAGCTTATGTTGGAAGAACAAAGTGTTTGGAGACATGCACTAGGAAATTACACTATAGCAACTGGATGTGATGACCTTATTGGTATTAATAATATTCCATCTTTCGAGCACAGAAGGAATTCTTTTTTGGAAAAAAAAATACAGAAATGTTCAGATACTTAAGGAAAAACAAGAGTGTGATTTGACTCCAGGAAGCTCATAATATTTTGAAAGCTCTTTGGCAATGTCTGTAAGTTTTTTTGTGTGTGCTTTATACTACTTTGTCCTTTCAAGCTACACAGAAAACCACTGGTGGCTATAACCTTTTTTATCCTGTTTATATCTAAGTTGAGAGCCGGTGCCAATTTTTCACCTACATTAAAGAGACGTATTATAGGAAAGAGCTGTTCTTTTATATTTGCCCTTTATACCACTGGGTCTTCCCCACCCAAAATAAATGTTCGTTTGTTTTGAAATAAGAAAAAAACCTGTCTTTCAAATAAGAAAAGTTATTTTGGGAAAGAAAGTCTAATTGTTCTATACACTATTCGGGAAAAAATAACAGCTTTACATAAGTTCTGCTACTTGTTCCCTATTTATCAGTCTCTTTTAATTTCCAGAACAGTCATTTCTAAACTCCTCTATCTATTCTACTCCTGTCATTGAGAAGGGTTTTAGTAAAAATAGGAGAGAGTGTGGTGCATCAGAAAAGAATTAGCCTGGGAGTCAAACGCTGAAGTGCTGGCATTATTATTCTTGTATTGCTTGTATTACCCTGGGCAGGTAACTAAACTTTTCAGAAGGGTAGTTTGTTCATCTGTCAGGTAGGGATAATAATAACCACCCTACCTATTGTGAAGGGTTGCAACAAGGATCAAATGGAGTAAGAGATGTGAAAGTGTTACGAGAAAGGGGCCCTGAACCGGAACCCAAGAGAGGGTTCTTGAACCTTGTGCAAGAAAGAACTTGGGGCAAGTCCATAGAGTAAAGTGAAGGCAAGTTTATTAGAGAAGTAAAGAAACAAACAAATGCCTACTTTATAGGCAGAACAGCGTCATGGACTGCTGAACTGAGTATACTTATAGTTTTTTCTTTATTATATGCTAAACAAGGGGTGGATTATTCATGAGTTTTCCAGAAAATGAGTGGGAAATTCCCAGAACTGAGGGTTCCTCCCCTTTTTAAGCCATATAGGGTAACTTTCTGATCCTGACGTTGACATGGCATTTGTAAACTGTCATGGCACTGGTGGGAGTGTCTTTTAGCAAGCTAATAAATTATAATTAGCATATAGTGAGCAGTGAGCATGACCAGAGGTGACTTTCATTGCCATCTTGGTTTTGGTGGCCAGATTCCTTTTTTTTTTTTTTTTTTTTTTTGACACGGAGTCTCTCCCTGTCGCCCAGGCTGGAGTGCATGGGCGCGATCTTGGCTCACTGCAACCACTGCCTCCCGGGTTCAAGCGATTCTCCTGCCTCAGCCTCCCAAATAGCTGGGACTACAGACGCATGCCACCACGCACAGCTAATTTTTGTATTTTTAGTAGAGTTGGGGTTTCTTCCCGCCACAGCCTCCCAAAGTGCTGGGATTATAGGCCTGAGCCACCGCGCCTGTTGGCCAGATTCTTTATTGCATTCTGTTTTATCAGCAAGGTCTTTGTGACCTGTATCTTATGTGGACCTCCTATCTCATATGTTACTAAGAACATCTAACCTTTCGGGAATGCAGCCCAGCCCAGTAGGTCTCAGTCTTATTTTACCCAGCCCCTATTCAAGATGGAGTCACTCTGGTTCAAAAGCTTCTGAAAAAAGCACCTTTCAAACTGCACTGTTTATGCATGTGTAAGGTACAGCAGTATATGTGAGGTTGAAAACCCCTGCAAATCCATATGCAGTCCCAGAGAGCATTACACAGTAAGTAAAAAAAATGAAACATGGAATGGTGACAGAATTGTCTGCTGTAAGGAATGTCACAGGTATTTAAACTGGCTGTCATTTGGATGAGACAAAAGGAAAAAACTGAAACTGTTTGTACCCAATTTTTACCTAAAGGTAAATTTAAAAATTTAAAGCCATTAGATGAAGTTAGCTTGGCATGGATTTATATCCCTGAACTCGCACCCCATCTGCCACACTGTTACTGGCATAGAGTGGGTTTAAAAGAAGATGGATTACTCTACACGCTCCCATAGCAATTTCACTTTATTATTTCCCATTTAGCATGCCCACCAGGTTTCCTCACAGTCTGTTGGCCAAACATACAAACAAAATCTGTCTTCCTGTTGTAAGTTTCAGAATCATACTTTAAAAAAATCTTTTTGGGGGCAGTTTTGTTTCAAAATTTAAATAAGAAACAAAAGTTCGGCCGGGCGCGGTGGCTCACGCCTGTAATCCCAGCACTTTGGGAGGCCGAGGCGGGCGGATCACGAGGTCAGGAGATCGAGACCATCCCGGCTAAAACGGTGAAACCCCGTCTCTACTAAAAATACAAAAAAAAATTAGCCGGGCGTAGTGGCGGGCGCCTGTAGTCCCAGCTACTTGGGAGGCTGAGGCAGGAGAATAGCGTGAACCCGGGAGGCGGAGCTTGCAGTGAGCCGAGATCCCGCCACTGCACTCCAGCCTGGGCGACAGAGCGAGACTCCGTCTCAAAAAAAAAAAAAAAAAAAAAAAGAAACAAAAGTTCAGAATATTGAAAGAATTATATGTTCTGTTGATATGGATAATAACAATATTAACTCCCCAAAACTCACTACAGGAAAACGTTAAGGTCTAAACTCTTATCTTCTTGGGGTTGCCCCTCCCCAACTTGTCCCACGTAAGTGCTGGTTTGTACTAGATTGGGCCATGGATACATACAAGTGTCTGATTTATCTCTTTGTGGGAGACAATTGAAAAGTAACTGCTGTATCTAAAAATCAAATGTTGACTTTTGGTAAAAAACATTTTGATAAAATTTGATTTAAAAAGTTTTGAACATAAGAATTCTACTTATGTATCAGAATTTGAATACCTAATATTTATAATTATGGAAGAAAATTGACTTTGCCTTTATGAGATTACTCCATTATTATGCAGATGAGTCTCTTATTGTACCAGTTGTCTCAGGAATTTGTTAGCTTGCTTGGATTTTTGCTACCATTTATTACCATTACTTTTATCAACTAGCCACAACTCTCCAAAATTTCCTGTATGTTGTAGTAGTGAAGCTGTACATATTGGCCACTTGCCACTTAGAGTGTACAGGGTGTACATGTGCGTGTCAGTCTGGATTAACGGACAATTAACATAGTTTCAGAAGACCTGGGCTTGCAATAAGACCCTGCCCTGTTCTGGTATTGTAGCCCTAAACCATAGTTTCTTCATCTGTAACATGTATCCCTGATAACCTTTACTCCTCTTGTAGCTCAACAGGCAAAAACCAGATATAACAATATATGTGCAAATGCTTGGTCAAGTTAAGGATACTTAACTCATGTCAGTTATTATTATAATGATGAAGTCAGAGCTGTTTTTTCTGGTTTTGACCATAGTAATGCCTGACACTGATTACCAAAGATTCAAAGCAGTAAGGAAGACCTCTCTCACTCAGGACTCTGTACATTTCAGTTCAGTTGTCTCGGTGATTTTTGTGAAACTCAAAGTCATTTTAGCTAAAGCAATATACTGTTAGATGTGTAAGCCTGCTGTAGCATCAGGAACACCTGTGGCTGACAAGGAGCCAAGAAATAGAAGCTACAAACTAGAAGGACTCTAACCTTAGGAGTCTTTGAGTGGTGGCCCAAAGGCTAGAAGGAGTGAAACATCTGCAAACCAAAAGGAAGTGCAGATGAGGATTAACAAACTCACTAGAGCAGAGCACTAAGGGTCCACACAGTTAGCTTCTCTGTGTTCTACAGACACACACAGCAAATAAATGCATGTCTTTCTTTGTGATAATAACAGAGCAGATGAGTCTGGAGAGACAGTGTGAAGTGCTCATGGTGTCCATATGCCTATGGAGGATGCATGAATCAGGTCATCTTTGTATATGGAGCAGCATAGAGCCAGAATGAAACAGAAGGCCAGGATAGGCTCAAATTTAATTTCCTCCAAAGATTTTTGTACATATTTTAATTGGAGAAGACGATTCATGCATGGGTTCTCATTACTACGCACACTGATACTCCAAACTGTTTCTACACCTCTATCTTCATCTCTGTATCTCTTTCTACAAATAAATTCAGTATGTGTCAGTTAAAACTGGTCATGTATTACTCTATCAAGTTACACTATCAGAGTGGGAAAAAATATGCCATTGAATTCCCTAAATTTTCTTAATGAGCTGGATGGCTTCACCTTTGTGTTTAAGAAAGGGATCAGGCCGGGCATGGTGGCTTACGCCTGTAATCCCAGCACTTTGGGAGGCCAAGGCGGGCGGATATCTGAGGTCAGGAGTTTGAGACTAGCCTGGCCAACGCGGTGAAACCCAATCTCTACTAAAAATACAGAAGTTAGCCGGGTGTAATGGCATAGACCTGTAATCCCAGCTACTCTGGAGGCTGAGGCAGGAGAATTGCTTGAACCCAGGAGGCGGAGGTTGCAGTGAGCCAAGATTGTGCCACTGCACTCCAGCCTGGGCAACGGAGCAAGACTCCATCTCAAAAAAAAAAAAAAAAAAAAAAAAGAAAAAGAAATGGATTAGTAGATGAAAAATTTTCCACAATTAACTTAATTCATTATTGCTCAGGTAAAAAGAGCCAGGGACAAATATGAGTGCTGACATAAAACCTTCCCTGTGTCCTTATTGTTTCAATGATTATTTATTGAATGTGAACTACTAATTCATCCATTCATTCAGTGAGTCAACAACTAATTATCAAATGCTTACTAAGTGAAAATGAGAATATAAACGTGTTTAGGATTATTCCTTCAAATAATGTATAAACTAATGGTTACATAAGGCTTACACATACAAAGAACTGAAAAAGATAAAATCATTTTCAGAAAAGGGGTTCAATTTTTTATGAGGATTCCAAGATATTTATCTGTGGCTAAGGAAACAGGTACACATTTCCAAGGTGGAGTTTGAGTTGAGTCCCCCAAGTTGAGTAGGATTTTGAAGAACAACATCAGAAGAGGAAAGGCATTCATGCTGGAAGTATTGTATACCACAAGCAAGGATGGAGCAGTGGGAAAATGCAGAGTTGGGGAAAGGCTGCCAACAAAGTTTGACTAAAGGTCGGACTGTGGGGCGAAGATAGATATTATTTCAATCTTCTACCTGGCAAAAGTTATTTTTGAAAGATAGTTCAAAGTTTAGCAAAAGTTTTTGAAGAGAAGTAATTCAAAATCTTGATCACTGCTGAGCCTTAGACTTAATTTAGATGATACAGAAAGGTATTGAAGATATCAGAACACAGTGGAGTGACTGAGACAGTGTTGATGAGGAGGCTGAATGGAGACAGTGACACCAGGTAACAGGTTAGTACTTAAAAGGTGTGTACAAGAAGAAAAATAGATAAGAACTGGAAATGGGAATGAAAACGAAACAACAAATGTCAGAAATATTGGCAAAGTTGAGTCATTCACCCCTTGGCAGTAGTTGATTGTAAGGTGTGAGATATAAAATAAAGTTAAAAATGATACTGAATTTCCAATCTGGAGAGCAGGTAGACTAGATATGTGGCTGTTACACAACATGAAAGTTTAGAAAAAGTAATTTCACAGCAAGGGAGATGATGAAGGTTTGATTTTAGGCTGGACCTAGAAATTCAGGACACGCCTAAAGATAATAATTTATGGTTATTTCCTACAGAAGCAAAAATAGATTGTTGTAAGGCTAAACCTTTTATGTACCAAGGGAGACTAAGATGTATAGAAGTTAAAAAACAATAAATCAAGCTGGTGACCACTTAACATCTCTTCAGCGGAGAGTTTCTAAAATTAATCTTTTAAAAAATGGAGATTTATTACAGACACAGATCTTGTGTCTCAGAGCAAAATGTCTGCTTGAATTGCCCATTTGATTTCCATTTTGAATATTTTACAAGCCTTGAACTTAGAAATGATCTTGTATAGTTTTCATTGTTCATTTCTGTGTGGTTTCTTATAGAAGTTTATATTTGTTTACTTGTAAGCTCAAATAGATTAGAGCAGTATTCACTTCCCATGCTTTTTCTTTTAGTAGTTTAATATTATTTATTTAAGCAGTCACACTTAGGCTTTCTACTAAGAAAGCAAACAAATGTTTGTTTATCAGATATTATAGGTCATTTTCTTTTATCTAACAGGGAACACCTGTTTTAGAGGTTTGGATTTGTCACCTAAAGACAAGCTCTCTCAGTGTATCTAGATAAGGTCTGACCTACAGATATTCCTTTATGTGTGTGCAATACAATATTAAAATTAAAGATAATGGTACAAATTTGGGGACAGAGGTTGATTGTTCCCCGAAAGGCACCCTTCCCATAGAATGTGCTCAGAAACTACCCAAGCTTGATTGCACTACTTTTACCATCCAATCACAATAAGAATTAGGAGAAAAAGCTGCACCCAAATTTTCTCTCCAAGGTCCAATCTTCTTAAAATGAAGTGTCTAGAATTGCACTTTCTCTAGTCCAGCTATAGGAAAGTAAGCTAATTTGTGTGACTTCACTTTTTCTTTTTCCCCAAATGCCATTTATAAAAGTTTGTGAGAGCTTCCTTCATATTTCCTGGAGTTTTAGCTATTCAAATCTATAAGGCAATTGTCCTTTTTCTGTATGCTTTTTAAAAAAATTAAAATGAAAGTGAGATATTTAAGAGGTTCAAAAAAGTACATGTGAATAAACAGGAAAGCTGAGTCAAAGAACTAATTATACCTTGACACTTGCATTCTGCTACTGTAAGGCAGAGCTTGGTCTTTACTCTAATTGCCTTATGCTTCCTATTTTAAGTGAAGAGGAAATCTCTACCGCGTCATTTGTCTGCTTTTGGTTGGTGGCTCCCAAGGAAGGCCTCTAAGCTCCAACCTCCGTTCCCTAAGGCCCAGGTTCATATCACTGGATTCCTCTAGGATGTTCCTACTCAAATTCCACATACATGACGTTAAATGCAATTTTATTTCTCCTCCGGATTATTACTGCTTCAAATTCCCTAGTTTCCTAGCCTGCTTTGCTTTGATCCTTGGATTTCTCATTATCTTTAATTATTTATTTTTTTCAGCCAGCAGTCATAAGTTCTATGGTGGCCTTTCCTTTGACTTTACTTATACAATATTATTTACATAACTTAATAAATAACTGAAAACTCCTCTCTTCCAGTCAAGCCTTTTATTCTCTTTCCTAAATGCCATATAAATTTTGTCTCCATGGTACAATTGTGCTGTTCCCTGTGTCTGGCATCCACATTTATATCATTACAATAGTAATGTCTCCCATACTTTCTTCTTGTCTCAACTTTTGTATGCTCCCCCACTTTGCAACCACAGTCCACAAAAACCTGTTATTTCTCTGATTTTCTAAGGCATGTTTAGTCTGGAACTGACAACCTGGCCCTTGGGCTTCATAGAGTTTTTTTGTCCTCTTAATCGCTTTGTGTCAAATTAGAAGATATTTGTCAAGCAACTTTCCTATTTATATTACCAGATTCAATGCCACCGAATTTCAAATTAAGTCAAAGGAGCTCTGTGAGCTACTTTTAGAATAGTGTAAGGCACACTTCAGCACACAAATGACTGTCAACTAAATCCAATAGAAAAAATATCATGGAGAATTTATAAAATTGACATGTTGTCACTCCAGTTGTGCTAGAAACAGGAGATAAACTATACTTCTCCTTCTTCTGCATTTCTCAGTGGAATCAGCATAGATTGAGGTACATCATAGATGTGTCATCCTTACAGATATACTGACAGCCATACCAGTATCAATGACGGGCTAAGTCCATGCTGTATACTAGATGCTTTATGTGCATACTTTGTAATCCTTATGGCCTTGCAAGGTAGGCATTATCAACCCCATTTCATAGATGAAGAATCTGACTCTTAAAGAAGTTATGTAACCTAACTTGCCTACACTGAGACAGCCAGTAGGTGGCAGAGCCAGGGTTTGTAGACAGAGAAAACCAAAATGCCTGTGCCCTATTCCCTAGTCATTACTGCTCAATTACTGCGGAATGGATACTCATGATATCACCCCAGTTCATTCACAGATAACACTCTTGAGAGGAACATAGTGGCTGTGTATATACAGTACTAAAAATAAGGGTATTATTGAGATTATTTTAAGAAACTCACCCCTTAGACTTTTGAGTTTTTGGTATTGTACATGTTCTCTACTTCTTTTGCTGAAAGTGTCCCAATTCAACCTTTGCCTTATCAATTGCCTACATGGTCCTTAAAACATATGAATTAAAAATCAGCCACTCATTTTGAAGAAGAGGTAACAGGCTAGCTTCATATCTACAGGAAAGTTGGCTTTTACTGGTTGCCCATGCAGGCTCTTGTTCATACACAGAGCCATTAAGTATATCCTCCTTCACATGCACAGGGACTCACCTGCAGGACCCATTAGTGCTAATGGGTCATTTTTTTTTTTTAAACCCGTCACTTCAAGGATCAAAAAGAGAACCTGCATCTTTGATAAAGTGATAATAGTACACAGGGCTCAGACCACTAAAGGAGTTTCTTTGTTCTCTTCATGTGGCAACCCACCAAGGGACTTTAGATCACTATTTGCTATATCAAAGAGTTTATAAACAGTACTAAGTGGTGGTGCTAAGTACAGCTTCAGTAATGAAAATGAGAATGAGTCCCCTATTTATAAAGCCAACCTCGTCTACCTTGCTATGTTTGAAGGTTGTATCCCACACTGCTTGAACTGATATTTTCTGCTCTTTAGTAACTCAAGGGAAAGATTACTAGTTCTCTTCAATAAGCTTTACAATGTTGTCAGGCAAGTAAGTTTTTTAATAGAAAAACATAGGGATTGTGGTAGGAAGTGGGAAAAGGAAGTAAGTTGGTGCATTTTAGAATTAGCACTCTCCTCATGTGTTGCCTTACTGTTTCCTCTTTTTTTATTCTTTTCTACCGTGGCCTCAATCCATAAGGTGGCTGACAATATTTATTGAGGGCCAACCGTGCTTAGAGCCCAGTACCGGGCACTCTGGGAAACACAGTCTCTCTCCTTCAGGAGGTTACAGTCAGACAGAGGAAGATTGATTAATAAATATATAGTATTCTATACATAATTTCTATTACTGAGTTCTACATCTGAAAAGCCTAAAGCTGTGCCAAGAATTCTTCATTCAATTCCCCACTCTACTACATTCATTAGTCCTGGAGGAGAGCTGAAATTTTCTAACAAATTTTGTTCAACAAATGAAAGGAGTAGGTAGTATTTCCTTTCATTGCTATTTGTCATGTCAAATTATAAATCTCAGCCCACAATCTCTGATGTACAAGAAATGTAACTTTTCTATTTTTCTATAACTCACCTTGGTTTCTATTTTGAGCTTTGATTCTTTGAGTTAGTGAAGGTACAATCTCAGGCAATTTTAGTTCCCTTCTTTTTCTTGTGTCATATCTAAATAACTCAATGGGGTGAGTTCTACTGTACTCATTTTTTTTTTTTTGGTAGGGGGGCGGGCGGGTAAAGAGAGGTGGCATGGAAGCTTGTTTCAAATATTCTAGAGTCACAACTCAGGTGCTCACTGAGGTGCTACCCAGCATCTTCATTCTTGTGTGCATGACCTCTTTAGGTTGGACTTTTTTTTTTTTTTTTTTTTTTTGCTATTTCTGTGCCAGTCTGGAAATTGTTCTATAGCTCCCATGGCACAGAGGAGTACGGAACGTTGTGTGAGACTGTCTAAGGTCTCAGGTTATCTAAGTCCACCATGCAGCCATTTCTTTTCAGAGCTCTCACTGCTCCCTCTTAGTTCTCCTGAGGAAATGCACAGAGGTTTGCATTACTCCTTGAAACTTACCTGAGGTTTTGAGATTCACCAGAGCTCAGTCCTTAAATTAGAAATCAGCACCCTCTTTGACATTTGCCAATGACTGTACTTGCACAACTAGGTTCTTCCAACTTTATCTCCTGCTTGACTGAAAGAGGAGTAGGAAAGCTTTACTTTTCTTATGTAAACTCCAATGTATTCTATTTCATTCCTCGAAGAGTCTAGGATTTTTAGACTTAAATACAGAAAGCTAATTTTGTATCTTTGATTTCTGATTCATATCCTTTCTCTGAGGCAACTAAAACACAATGGCCTGAAATTTAAGTGAGAGCAAAAACAAAGGACAGAATGGAAATATGGAAGAAAAATCAAATAATTCTTCAAAATAGTATCCCCTCTCTGACCAAAACCATGCTGTCTTTTAATATTAAGAATGATGGTTAATAGTCAGTAGACTTTGCTTTATGTAAAAGGGGGGAAGTAAATACATCCAGTACTTTCAATGCAAATTATATAGTTATAAAACTTAAGTTTTAGTTAGGTCAAGGACCTAAGTTCTCAGTTTTTAACGTTGAATGACTTTGAGTATGCCACATGATTCCTCTATTTCAATTTATTCATGAGTACAGTTCAAGAGTGTTATATCTGTGGTTTGATTTTACCCTACATACAAATTAATAGGTTAGCTTATTACTGTTTAATGGGTGCCTGCAGAAGACAGAATATTTCTGGATGGGAGACCAAGGAATTTGTTACTCACAGCTCAACAGTCTGTGTATCAGTTCTCCTTGTTCCCAAGTCTCGTGAAGACAACACAGAAGGACCCAGGTGAACAGTAAGATTGCAGGATTTTTGTGTTACACTGGGGAAAATGTGCCAAGTGACATCAAGTTGAATAGAATGGTTAACATGAGAAAGAAAGTTCAAATGAAAATGAAAGTTGAAGAAGTAGATAAAAAGAGTATGTTACAGAACTTGTAGACTGGAGCTATAGCAGCATATTACTGAATTTTGAGCTCACCTTCCTTATGTTCCACATTGATTAAATGTTTACTAAAGTCACTTAGTTATGTTTATTGAATATTATCCAGATATGGTAAATAATCTGAAATAGAAAAAGAAACAGAATCCAACATAGATTGTAATCTCTTTTTTTTTTTAAGTAATAGTCCATAAAGTTGGGGAATCTCAAACCTAGAGAGAAAAAGTTAAACAAAGCTAAGCAATGTCTTCCATTAGAAACTGCAATAAAATTAGAAAAATAAGTTGAAAATTTGTTAACGGATTTCAGAGCAGCCTAAAAATTGAAAGTAGTGTAATTTTACCTAAAAACAGAAATACCTCAAGAAGGATGCAATATCCACTTATGTACAGACTATTATGTGAATTATCGAACAAGAGAGGTGCAAGCAAGGATAGTGGGCTTCAGCCTAGTATAGAAGTGACTTTAGATACAAGAAGAAATTTACTGAACTTCTGATGAAATGGAAGACACAGAGATCTCTAAGCAGAAGGTGAATTTAATAATAATGCCTGTTGACTGTGTGTCCACTTTATACTTTTGCTCTTGTGGATGCTTGATATATTTCATCTCATTTAATCATCATGAAACCCTCTGGCATAGGTTTTTATTGTTCCCATTTTAGAAACAATGATACTAATAATCAGAGAAACTTATATATATATATACACACACACACACACACACACACACACACACACAAGGCTGTAGGGCTTGCAAATAACCAGGCCTGGATTTCCACGCAAGGGTATGCATCTCTATAGCTAGCCCACATTCCTTCAATTTGACCACATAATATGGAATTACTTTAGTTGTCTATGGAAATAGCTTTTAGAAATGTCTCCTAGTGCCAGTATATTATTCAAACGTCTCTATTGTTTAGCACTTTGGGGAAAACAGCTAGTCATAAATTAATTTTTTATTAACTTAATGAAAAATAAACCTCCCTGTTTTTTCTCCATCCTACTGTGTGTTTAAAGTCAATGACATGGTACTTTTGTAACAAAGACTTTGATCTTCTTGCAGGTGACTTATATATAGGAGGAGTAGCTAAAGAAACATACAAATCCTTACCAAAACTTGTACATGCCAAAGAAGGCTTTCAAGGCTGCCTGGCATCAGTTGATTTAAATGGACGGCTTCCGGACCTCATCTCCGATGCTCTTTTCTGCAACGGACAGATCGAGAGAGGATGTGAAGGTATTAGATTTTTGTCATCATGCTCTAAATAATTCTAATTCCACCTGTCTAACTGAGAGTGAATCTCACTGTCCAGCAAAATTCTGATAACTGGTCAAATACCCAATTTGGGCTTAGACATCCTTATTCAAGTTTTTAATTTTTTATCTCATAAACCTTAAATTTTCTGTACTGTTTGCAAGCCTACATTAATGCCCAATGTAAAATGGGAGGTATATCTATGGATCTTGGTTTTTTTGCCTGTTTTTGCTTTTGTTTTTGTTTTTGTTTTTGTTTTTGAGCTATGTAGTACATTTGATTAGTTTGTTAATCAGTTCTACGATGCTTGCTTTATAGCATTAAACAAATACTGCTCCACCGAGTATTAATCAACTTGTGCCCATTTTTTAAAAATCTACATTCTTTTTGTTTTAATTTTAAGTCCAGGGGGTACATGTGCAAGTTTGTTATGTAGGTCAACTTGTGTCATAGGGGTTTTTTGTACAGATGATTTTGCCACTCAAGTATTAAGCCTAGTACGCATTAGTTATTTTTCCTGATCCTCTCCATCCTCACACTCTCCACCCTCCAGTAGGCCCCAGTGTCTGTTGATCCCCTCTATGTGTTCATGTGTTCTCTTCATTTAGCTCTCATTTATAGGTGAGAACAGGCAGTATTTGGTTTTCTGTTCCTGCATTAGTTTGTGAAGGATAGTGAGAGAAGTCACTATGTCAGAAAGACATCTGCAAACATATATTTATCACTGCGCAATGCATAATTACAGATATATGGAATCTACCTAAGTGCCCAAAAGCCAATGAGTGGATAAAGAAAATGTGGTATGTATATTCCACAGAATACTACTTAGCCATAGAAAGAACAAAATAATGTCTTTTGTAGCAACTTGGATGGAACTGGAGGCCAATATTCTAAGTGAAGTGACTCAGGAATGGAAAACCAAATGCTTCATGTTACTCACTTATAAGTGGGAGCTGCACTATGGGTGCACAAAAGCATACAGCATGGTATAAGGGACATTGGAGGCTCACAAGCTGGAATCGTGGGAAGGGGATTGAATGATGAAAAAACACCTATTGGGTACAACGTACAAGACTTGAGTGACAGGTTCACTGAAATGTTAGACTTCACGACTATATAGTTCATCCATGTAACCGAAAACCACTTGTACACCTAAAGCTACTGAAATTAAAAAAAAAGTAAAATAAAAATAAGTAAATCTATATCCAATAGCATATAACAAAAGAAAAAAGTTCAGATACCCCATTCTCAAAGCACTATTCAGTTGGTGTGTACCTGGCAGAAACACTGTATCCTGTATATTTTCAGTCTGTTTTAGCAAAAACAAGTTTCTTGTATCACCCCAGGCTAATATTCCTATATCAGAAATGCACTGAAGTATCTTCTTTTCTTTTGTGCTCTCTATCAGACCAAGATCTGTAGGAGTACTTTTTGATTGCCACTTTCATTTTAGATAATTTTCACTTCAACACCTCAGATTATTTGAGCAAATTCTTCCTCCATAAATGTAATTTAATCACATTATCATGAATTTTGTGGCTCTGCATGTGTTGCTGCCTCTCCTGTAATACTGAACACAGTTTGGGCCATTTTGAAAATTTTAGATTTATGAGGATGAGGATGTTTTATATGAGAGAAGAAGAAAGAAATTTGAATTCCTGTCCCCCAGGTGATTATGAATCATTTATTCTCAGCCAAAATAATGTCGTTATATTTAGCAATTACTTAAGTACATGGAAATTTTATATTTGAAAATACATTTTTTTCCTCTGTGCAGCATGTGTTTCCATGAAATGTTAGGTGAAATTTAAACTGTATTTCAGTAATACTAGAGGATAAGGTTAGTAATGGAAGGTGTTGTTGAGTTCATTTTTAATGTTATTAGTATATTTCTTTATTTGATATTTTGGCATAATGCCTCTGTAAAACATAAGGAAACTATGTTTTTTTCCCTTTCAGTTAATTTTAATTAAGAGAGACAAAATTGTTAAGGGGATCAATTCCCATTAGTGGATGAACACAAGAATGTGATACAACATAATAATTCTTGGAGGTGATCTCATTAGTGAGAATGTGTACCTTTATTTTATTTTATTTTTTAAAGAAAGGTATTACAATCCCTTATGGAACATATTTGTTAAAAATAGGCCTTTCTACAAGTTGTTTGGTATGTGACTTCTCACCTACAAGAAATGGTGAGAGCAGGCAGATATACCCAATGAGATAGAAAATAAGAGGCAAACACACAGGACCCCCACCACTGGTATGTAATGTGAGTGAGTGGGCGGAAGCAAGTAGATTAAGAGGAGCAGGATATACTAACAAAGGGCATTTGCAGTAATGATGTTTGGTGTTGTTTACCCACATAATCTAGTAAGGAATTTGGTTAAGATGATTAGTTACACATTAAACTATTATTTGAACATTTGAACCCAGTCACTTATGGCATTGGTTCTTTCCTTATCTAGAATGCTTTATATATCTGAGCTTTTATAATTTTCACACCCTGACACCCCTTTTTTTCTTTACTCTTAGAATATTACTTTCTGTCCTGATTCTTTCATTCCAACATCAAGGTGAACAACTTTTAATTTACTATTATTTCTGACCTGTATAGTTTCTAGGAATAATCTTAGATTTACCTGTTACAGGTACAGTTGATGAGATTCACACATTTTTTAGGATTAGTGTTTTAACTGTAGATACCTAATAAATTCTCTTTCTAAAGATTGTTATGTCATGGAATTTGAGTCCAAACCACACTGGAATCACTTAGGCTCCATATTGATAGGACTACTTAGCATATGTTTGGTATAACCTAATAATATCTTGTGAGGAGTTTCCATTGTTCCTATCCAATACACCCACACACCTCTAAGCCTCTTGCATACAAAAAACTTTTGATCTTTCCTAAATAATCACTTGTTGCCTTTTATTTCTAATTTATTTCAGGGAGTAATGGTTCATTTTATTTATAAAATTCACCTCAGCTAGAGTACGGATTTTAACCCGTCGAAGTCTACTTAGATTATTGTCTCCTGAATGTTAGCCTATATCAGAATCACTTACAGAATCATTAAAACCCAAATCACTAGATTACAACCCCCAGGGTTTCTAATTCAATAGATCTGAGATAGAGCCCTAGAATTTCCATTTCTAACAAGTTCCCAAGTGATGCTGATGCTGTTATACTGGAGACCATACTTTGGATGGCTTTTTTCTGTTTATGTAGCAGAAAATGGGCACTGGAATTCAACCAATAAGCAGGCCCACTAAAGTCAAGATAATATCTCTACATAAAATCAGAGTGAAATTTTAATAGATGCTCTTTTTGTACAACTGTAACATTCAGCTCTAGGCTCCATTATATCTACAGGAATAATTTTCTGTTTAATCGTGACAGCTATCATTGATTAAACACTGGTGGGAATATGTTTACCTATACTATCTCATTAAATCATCAAGACTCTATACAATAGGTATCATTGCCTTTTTTTAATGAGTAAATTGAACCTCAGAAAAGTAAGGTGACATTCCTAAAGTCCCACACCTAGTAAGTGGATGACACAAGTTTCAAACTCAAGTTTACCTTACTTGAAAGCAGAGACACCTAACCTCTTTTGTGTATCATTTCTTTTGTTTCTGGAAATTGTAGTTTTATCTTCATTTTTCTTTCCCTTTTAGACATATTATTAATTTAAATAACTTAATACAAATGTCCTTGTAGCTTTTTCCTAATTTTATTCAGTGATAAAATAAAGATAATATTACATAACTAAAAAGAAAAATAAATTTAAGGCTCTCTCTTGTGTAATACCTGTCAATGTTTAAGTATTGTCTAGAAGGTGAGTACTTTGAAAAATGTGTCTTGTCAGGCAAAGGCATGCATTGTCTTGTAATTCCTGAATATAAAGACTATTGTGATAATGAAAATAAAATACAGCACGTCTGTATGCTTACATAGAAGCTTGGCAGGTACTCTGAGTTGCTGCTCTACAATATGGGCAGATTATTTTTCTAAGATTGTAGTTTTACTATTTTTAGAGTTTAGCATTGTTTCTCAATTGCATTTCTGATAATTTTTGAAAAAACAAAAACCAAAATCTGGATCTTCATTAGTTCTTGCTTCTGACCTTTTCTTCTGCTGTGCAGGTCAGAGAGCAAATAGCTATTTGATAAAATGGCATCTCCCCAAACTGGGCTTGTATTACTCCCTGTTTATTTGCTTAACACTGGAAGAAATATGCTAAGGAATATTGCTTTGAGAGATTTTATTTTTAAAAATATGCTAATTATTTTTGATCTCTAATGCCATGGGATAAGGATCAGTAGACCACTTCCCTCTCACAGTTTGGAACAAAAATTAAAACTAAGCAATTAAGTGGTTCTTATTTCTTTACTACAAAGAACTAAGTTGAGTTTAGTGGTTCTTAGTTCTTTGTTAGTTCTTAGTTCTTTGTTAGTTCTTAGTTCTTTATTACAAATAACTAAGTTGAAAAAAACAACTGTTACTCTCTTCAGGTTTCCTGGATTTGGGAGGTCTTCTTATTATATTACTACTTATATAAACTACTATTTTTGTTTTAATTATTGTTACAATTATTGCTGTTATTATTATTATTATTACAGAATTAAGATTTACAATATCATGGTTTCTGAATTTGTGAATTCTCAGAGGCTAGGCTAAATTCAATAACATTCAATAAAGAGTATCTTTACTAAAAATTTATAATACAAATGTGATTGTAAGGTACATGTTTAGAAGCCATTTTCAAAATCATCTATTTATACAAAATATAATTACAGAAAATTCTAATTTATTCACTAAAGCAGGCACCTCAGAGGCTCTCTCTTTTACATTAATAGCATCTAATTAGCTGTTGTCTTTTTTTCTATTTTTATAAAACCTATATGTTTATTTACTAGAAAATATATTTAGTTTATACTCTAAAGCTATTTAGGTAGACTGTATTCCCTTTTCACCCTCCTCTAAGATAGGTTCTTATTAGTGAGGTTTTACTGTAACAGTTATTCCACAGGGAAGTTTATAAGAGTTGAAAATACTTGTGAAAGTGTAGAAAATACAGACGTAACTCTGAAATTCATAAGTGGCATATACCCAATCTGGTAAGTTCAAGGATAAACGCTGCACATGGAAATTTTATTCAGAAAATTCCTTTATGATGGATTATATTGCAGTTTATTTCTTCCATCCTTCCTACTTCTTTCATCCACTCTAAATGATATACAGTATCATTTATGCAGCATTTGGTTGGTGTCACTCTAAAGTCCAGCTGTTGTCAGTGAATGGCTGGCATTACGGTTTGAAGCCTTAATTGCAACAGAAAGATAAAGGATCTAGAGGGAAAAACATAGAAAGGGATAATTGCTTTGCTACTGATCATAGTCTACACTGTATCTGCACATGATGAATGGTGCTGCATGTTCCAAATAAGCAACACAGTCACTTTGGTAATGCATTCATATCTATCCAAGAGAGGAAACATACAAAGGCCCTTTTAATTTTCCTTCATTACATGTCATTGGCTCAATTAACCATTATATATATACATATGTACAATTAAATTCTAATAAATTTCTGCTTTCTCATTTTTGGCTTCTCTTAAGATTTATGGCTGTTAGTATTAATTTGTTTGCTCTACATAGCATTTTTCTCCCTCTTTACAGCAGCATGCCTTTTGAATCTGAACATTCTTCTGTGTTTGCCCCATTTCAGTATTGCTTACTAACATTTAATATATTTTGCTTTTTTTTTTATTTTGCTGACAAAGTTGCATTGATGAAAGCTGACTTGCAAGGTAGATAGCCCTGTGTGTATATAACAAGACTGAAACCCCATAATACACAGTGGAAACCCTAAAATAACATATTTTACATTTCTGCAGTAACTGTTATTTGGGTTCAGATTTCATTCTTTTCCTTTCTTGAACGTTGTGCAAGAAGCCTAACTTTGTAGCATAGTTTGTATAAAGGCTTTCAGTCTTGAATATGTTTGTATAGTGATTGCCTTTAGTGCTTTGATCATGCTTTTTTTAGTTCTTTGTTTTTCAGTGTTCTAGTTATGATTCTTTAGAAATAGACTAGCATTCTTTTTACTTGTATGTTTATTGAGGGCATGCCATTTATATGGAGTTTTTAATTTTATGTTTAATTGCATGAAATTGTTAAAAGCATGTGAATTGATACTTGCCAACATACCTATTCAAAACACCCAGCAATCATAACTTTATCGTTTGGAAACCTCTAGGGCATTTTTGCATAACTCTCTTCAGTTATTTTGCCAATCTTATCTCAATTTCATGAAGTTATAATCTCCATTTCTCATTATGTCTCTATTCATTGGTCAGAATGTTAAGGAGATCCATTCATTTTCTAAAATCAAAATAGTGATAAAGAATTATTGAAGTTGGAATGAGATTACCTGCTACAATAATCATACTAGAAGCTATGTGCTTGTTTTTGCTATTTGTTGGTTTAGTTTATGATTATAATGTATTTTATCCTATACTTGAAACTTAAGAAAACCTTCATATTACAGCCTCTCAGTTCCTAATTCAGGTGTGTGAACTAGAACTTTAAAAACTAGTTTGGACATATCATCTGTGGTGTTGGCAACTACTACATGTGATCTAGCTCATGTATAAAATGCTTTTGGATTCTTTTAAAGAACCCAAGTTTCCTTTGGATTGTTTTGCAGGGCCCAGCACAACCTGCCAAGAGGACTCATGTTCCAATCAAGGTGTGTGCTTGCAACAATGGGATGGCTTCAGCTGTGACTGTAGTATGACTTCCTTCAGTGGACCACTCTGCAATGACCGTAAGTACCTCTCTGAGTATGGACTGATACTCATCGTTGCTTCCAGTTACTGTTTGATATCTAAAGTCTAACACTGAAAGTCCTTATATTAACTCTGAGTCAGTCGAACTGTCATAACCCATAGAAGCAGTTGTTTCTACGGAAAGGACAGTTTTGAAATACTAATTGTTAAAGTGGCTAAATCCTGTGATGATGGTGATTCTTTGGTTTTTGGGTTTATTGTTATTTTTTAATTACTAATGATCACCTTGTTCAAAAGAATGTTTTTCATTTCCAATATATGACAATTCTCCCTTGGTTTTTGAAAGAACCTTCATATTGTTTTATATTAAATAATACTTAATTTCATATGATTATGTCTCGAGGGCTGTAATTTTACTGAATGGTTACAGGTCTCATTTTTCTCTCTGCGTACATCTCTTTAAGCCCATTGCTGCCTTTTACTTTTAAAAAAATATGTTCAAACATTGTCCCTTCAGCCATTCTCCCTTGTATCTTAGCAACTTATGTTTTTCCCCTTAAAATCCTTTAACTAAGTATTACAATATAAGCATGAAAATAAAACACATGATTCACATTATATCATGGCATATCTGCTAGTGCCTAATTTATATCACAGCAGTGAGGGTTTGAAGATGGAATTAACTGATCTATAAGATGAAGTTCTGTGTCTTAATGTTCTAATAGGTCCTGATTTACAGCACATCATCAAAATGATAAAAGAATTTCATACAAAACATTGCATTCTGCTATATTAAGAGAATATTCCTGACAAATTGACCTGGTTGTAAAATAGAATACGTGCTATATGTTGTCAGTGCTACAACACTTAAGCTAAACCTCCAGGATGATGGAATAGAAGATGCAACGGTTGAAGGTTTAGATTTTGTAGCAGAGGCTGAATTTGAATGTGGATTTAAAGAAAGAGTAGAGCTTGTTCATTTTGACCTTTGTCTATTTGAGACTGTATTCATGTCAACAGATATGTGCATCGCAATGTAGAAGATGGGGTAAAGCTACAGTAATCCTCTGAACTGAGTTGTTGCAGCCTAGCAATAAAGTACAATTTACCTGCTGTCTTTAGGTTTCCTTTCCAAAATATTGACTATTGGAAAAACGCACAACCAATACAGAGTTAAAACATATGTGGAAGAGGCCTTTAACAACCATGCCACTGTAGATGGAGAAATATTTGTTCTTCATTTTACTAGTTTCCTCTCCCATAGAATTACAGTAAACCTGAAGCAATAAACATGTATTCAAACTATCATACATTTGCGAACACTCTGCAAGCCAAATCACACTTAAAACACAATAACGCCATTTTGAGTTATATAAACAACTTTACATAAAGTCTTAATAAATATATATACATATAGCAGCCTTACATGTGCTTTTCATAAGGATATGTATATGTGTGTATAGGTAAATTACTTCCTGCATTTGTTCCTGCCTCACAGAAAATGGCGTAAATTTATTTTCAAGGACAATCAGAAGACTGAATACTTGTTAAGATTTTATTATCGCAAATTTTTCATCCTGAATACAATCCTGACAGATGTATGACTACATGTGGTAGTTGAGAGGGATTTTTTTGGTGTGAAAATATTTTTCATGTTGCTAAAGAACTTTTTCTGCCAAACTATGCTTAATGTAGTTTCCATGTTTTACATACAGTTGCCATTTGGTTGTGGCAGACTGTGTATCCTCATATACCAGTTAAATATAAAGAATATAATTTTGTGTATGTATTTGTTAGACTTTCCCTAAAGAAACACCAAGATACAACCATAAGTATCATGCTGTCTTCGAATGATTTTTACAGAAAACTATTTTAATGCTGCTCTTGGGTGATAGTACTGGTGATGACAATGATAAGGCTATTCGTTATTTTCTTGTAAATAGGTAAATGTCATTCAATAAATGTGTCTCCTGATATGCCTCTTGCACAAATCAGCATTAAAATTACTTTAGAGAGCTCTCAGAATACATGCATTTTGATTAAATCATTACCTGTTAGTGGGTTTTCTGAAAATGTGAAATGGTTCCTTGGCTTATACGTTGGAGTTTCAGTGGTGAGAATACATAGGTACAAATCAATATTCAAAAGCAAATCTTATTTTGTATCAATTATAATTGGTAGAAGATATAGTAGCAATTGTTACTTTGAAGACGTGGAATTAATAAGCAATAGAAATAGCATGCAACACTTTCCTCACTTTTTAAATTGATCAAAATAAATCTTGTCTGTACATCTCACTGTTTTTCTCTAAGATGCACAAATAGAATTAGTGTGATTCCTGGGGTTTTAACAAACTCCTTTTCTGTATAGAAGCTGATTTTTCTTTTAAAATAAAGCCATTTAAGGCATTTCACTTCTTAATGAAATTTTCATCTCTAGTTTATTTTTTCATAAATTCTGTGATTGCAGCCTCCAATTACATAGAAAACAAAAAAGAAAATAGAAACAAAACTTTTTAATGGGGAAACGAACATGCCACATTACAAATGAGACCTTCCCTCCCCCAAAATAGAATTTCTAAATGTCATCTCGCTGATAAGGTTTATAGAGTGGGTTAGGGTAACTAGAAAAAATGTATTTATATTAGCCTGGAGATATAATTAACAATGGGAAGATGGGAATACTTTGTAGCTTGTAAATGTAATCTTGGATAAATCATACTAATTAATTGAACTGAAAGGAATCTTTCAAAAAGAAGTGCTATTCAAAATGATGCCAAAGGCTATTTTTAATGAAATGTTTGTTAAACCCTTTCTTCCCCGGAAAATTGCCATCTAAGTGACCTACTCACTGACAAAAACAATTGTTTTGTGCATGTGTGTATGTGGATATGCAGGTGTGTGTACAGGGTAATGTCATATACTCACCTCTTCAAGTTTTCTTCCATATCAATACCAAATTTTAGATCCTCTGTATAATTTTTCTGGTATATCATGTAATTTCTTAGTTATCTCCCATTTCTTATTCCTCTTTCCTCTGATCCATTCTGTGCCTCTCTGCCAGTTTTGTTCTTTCTTTCTATTCTTCCTAGTTTAAATGTCATCAGTCTCTCCTAATTCTCCTAACCAGAGGCAATATTTTTTTTCTCCTCTGGCTTCCTATAGAATTTTGTTTATACTATTTAATTTGCCATCACTTTTTCCTTATAGTTACCTATGTTTAGTCTTACCTCCCTATAAGACTCTATACTTCTACTAGGAATAACATTCTTCTCTGTTTTCTTGGTTTATAAGCCCAGTGTTTTTATAGCATGCTGCATGTAATTGTAATAACTCACTAAAATCAAAGCGTGCTAGACACATGCATCTTGCAGAAGAATTTCAAATATATCCTCAGTGTCCAATACTACTCTCCAAGTTAGTCAATGTGGAATTCGTGGACCTCAATGGTCTGACCCCAGCCTTCATGTTCATACTTATCTGTTGCAGAACCTTGTCCATATGGCATATTACTGCCAATTTACTTACAGCTTTCTGAACAACATTACACTTTCCAATTTCCTCACCATTGCTTATGCTAATTTCCCCACCTGGAAAATGCATTCATTCCACCTGGAATGCATTCTTTCACTATGTCTGCTTGAAGAAATATAATTTCCTTTTCAATCTCTACTAAAACTCTTTTGTCCCATGGAAACTTCCTTTGTTTTCTGAGCTTGACATTATTTTTCCCTCTTCTGAAATTGTAGGAAACAGTGTGCTGGACTACATTGTATGGTGTAGCTGTTTATGAAATTTCTCTTGGATGTAACCATTTGCTGAGCACTTACTATGTGCCAGTTCTGTGCTAAAAGTTTACATTCATTGTAAATTTTATATATCACCTATTAATACTTACACATTCGTCCACCATCATCACACCAGTGTGCTACACAATAATCCTTTTCTCCTTTTACCCAGTGGTCCGGAATAGAATGTTACCATATTAAGCTAACTTAATGTCAGGTTGGAGAAGATGAACATGGCTATGACCGTATGCAAAATAGCGAACATAATAACATTGTCACATTACATTAGTATAGAAATGTTGTATGCCAAATTACAGTTCAGCTTCAACAGTGTCTGTTACCATAAGGGAAGAATATAACATAGTGCTGTTATTTTGGTGCTACAGCTTAGGAGGGTGTGGGTGCTGTTTTATTAAAAGGCTGTTTTCAGAATCCTAAACTTTGCCAAGAGAAAATCTTTCTGATAGGAATTTATTGTATCTTTCATATGAGAGTTAGAAACATTCGCTGAAATGAGGATAAAATACACTTCCCTGTGACTTTTTACCATGACATTTAAAAATATCTTCAGCTTTGTTTCTCAGCTTCTTTTGTTGTTTGAAAGAGAATCCAATATCCAGTGTCTGAGCATCAATATATGAACTAATGGAAGTGAATCATAACATATATTTTTAAAAACCTGGATCTGAGTAATGTTACTTCTCTCCCATTTAGAGTTGCCAGTAGTATTAAGCTGTGAGCTGATTTGCTGCTGGTGTCACTTAGGGCTGAATAAAATTTAGCAAGTAGCTATGTCCACAACCAGATACTCTTTGTGAGTATGATGAATCTTATTAACCTTGAATTTTTTCTAAGTGGAAGCCCTTAAGCTGTTTAAAGCAATTCATAAGCAATCTTTACTGAAAACACCTTAAAAAAACTATGGGGAAACAGGGTCAGACCTGCCTCAGGTGAATGATAAAGGATTAAAATATTTTTCCTACTAAGTAAGAAAATGTAATGAAGGACAGAAAATAAAGCATAATGTATGACAGAGAAATGTAATATGTCATAGAAGTGCTATCTGCTACTATTTTACGTAAACTTATCTTTGTTCTTCTTTTTAGAATTGACATCATAAAAGTAGATGCATAAATGGAAGCATTGGTCTTTTTATATTATTGTTGGGCAGCTGAATAATAGTTTCAGTCTGTATCTATATGAGAAAATTTAGGTGGGGAGAAAAACAACAAAAAAGGGAATAGAGTAATGCTGTATTTGAATTATCTATGTTAGTCCCTTGCACTGTTGAGCAGCTTGATGATTCAACTCTCAGCAGCCTTTTAGTCTGTGAATTCTGCCACCTTGGCCCCTAGAAATCAAAAAGGAAGCAAACCCAGTCAGAATGTTTTCTTCACCTATGGATTTTCCTGCTAGTATGCTCTAATTTTTCTGGCTTCATTAAAACTCTGTCTGTGTAGACCTTAATTTGGCTCAAATGTTAGCACTCTTCATCATCGATCTTATAGGTAAATATGGAGGTGGCTTTCAATGTTGGTCTTACTGTGGTAACACTATCCTATCTCACCAGAGCCCAGCTAACCAGAGCTGCATTCAGAGGAGGTTTTGCTAGTCACCTTGACTAACTATTCTCAAGGAAAGACAATGGTTTTAGTTATCACTAAATGCTATTCAAATAGATAGCCTCATCTGAATGTTTTTTTTCCATGCGAATGCATTATATATCCGTGTTTATCATGTTACTTCCATCTGTAGCAACACAACAGGTGCAGAATCAAGGCAGGATGGGGATACTGCCTTAATCAGAGGTGCTAACTGTTGACACTTGGAGCCATTAAGTTTAATTTTACTTTTTATATAGATTTTACTTCTCTAAAAATGATGTACCAAAAGCCCGTGTGAACAAACTGAAGATAAATCACAGTGAATTATCAGAACCTTGCACAATACCAAATAAGTACAAATAATAAATGGCTTAGTATGACAGATTGAATAAAGAAAATGTGGTACATATACACCATAGAATACCATGCAAACATAAAAAGAAATGAGATAATGTCTTTTGTGGGATAATGGATGGAGCTGGAGGCTATTTTCCTTAGCAAATGAATGCAGGAACAGAAAACCAAATACCACATGTTCCCATTTGTAAGTGGGAGCTAAACTACGTGAACTCATGAACGCAAAGAAGGGAGCAGCAGACACCACAGTCTACTTGAGGGTGGAGTGGGAAGAGGGAGAGGAGCAGAAAAAATAATTATTGGCTACTAGGCTTAATACCTGGGTGATGAAGTGATCTGTACAACAAACCCATGTGACACAAGTTTACCTATGTAACAAACTTTCACATGTACCTCTGGATCTAAAATAAAAGTAAAAAAATACTTAGTATCATTTTATTAATCAGGAAGATATTTGAAGAGAGCAAACGGTTAAATACTTCTCCCACTTTATGAAATCAAATTATCAGGAGTGTTTTTAAAGTATAGGATTACACATAATTACCTTATAATTTATGAAATCTTTTATTTTAAAATAATATAATTATGATTGGATTTGGAAAGAAGTGTTAGATCAGGCCTAGGTTGTTTCTATACTTTGTTGCTGTGGATATGCCTAGCTAGTGCATAAAAAGAACTACAAAAAATTTATGTAGATTACATCAACATATTTCAGTGCTAATATCATAATTAATATGTATTATATGCATGCCATTTAAATTTTATAAGCTTTACCTTTTCTCCAAAAATATCTGATTACTTTAAATGTAAAAAGAAGAATACTGAAGCATAAATAGATTTTTTAAAATTTTATGCCGGGCACAGTGACTCATGCCTGTAATCCCAGCACTTTGGGAAGCTGAGGCAGATGGATCACAAGATTAGGAGTTCGAGACCATCCTGGCCAATATGGTGAAACACCATCTCTACTAAAAATACAAAAAAATTAGCTGGGCCTGGTGGTACATGCCTGTAATTCCAGCTACTCAGGAGGCTGAGGTAGCAGAATCACTTGAACCCGAGAGGAGGAGGTTGCAGTGAGCCAAGATTGTGCCATTGCACTCCAGCCTGGGCAACAAAAGTGAAACTCCATCTCAAAAAAAAAAAAAATTATGAATACATGATAGTTGTACATATTTAGGGGGTACATGTGGTATTTTAATATAAGCACACAATGTGTAATGATCAAATCTGGGTAATTGGGTATCCATCATTTAAAATATTTATCACTTATTTTTGTTGGGAACATTCCAATTCCACTCTTCTAGCTATTTTGAAATATGCAATAAAATATTGTTAACTGTATTTGCCATATTGTGTTATCAAACACTACTCTTATTTCTTCTACTTATCTTTATCTTTGTATACATCAACCAACCCCTCTTCATCCTCTCCACCTTTCTACCCTTTATGGCCTCTGGTTACCACCTATTCTACTCTATTCACTGTCTCCAAGAGGTCAATTTTACTAGCTCGCACATATGAGTGAGAACATGCGATATTTGTCTTTCTGAGCCTGGCTTGTTTCACTTAACATAATGACCTCCAGTTCAACTCGTATTGGAATATATATACCATTTTTTTCTTTATCCGTTTATCCACAGATTCTTAGGTTGATTTCTTATCTTGGTTATTGTGAATAGTGCTGCAGTAAACATGGGAATGCAATTATCTCTTCGATATACTGATTTCCTTTCTTTTGGATATATACTCAGCAGTGAGATTGCTGGATCATACGGTAGTTATGTGTTTGATTTTTTGAGGAACCACCAAGCTATTCTCCATAGTGGTTGTACTAATTCACATTTCCACCAGCAGTGTACAAGCATTTCTCTTTTTCCAAATTTTTGCCAGCATGTGTTATTTTATGTCTTTTTTATAATAGCCATATTAACTGGAGTGAGATGCTATCTCATTGTGATTTTGATTTTGATGTCTTAATGTGATTTTTGCATTTCTCTGATGATTAGTGATATCAAGCATTTTTTTTATATTCCTGTTGACCATTTATATGTCTTCTTTTGAGGAATGTCTTCTTTTGCCCATTTTAAAAATTCAATTATTTGTTATAATTATTTTATGATTGAATTGTTTGAGTTCTTTATGTATTCTGGTTATTACTTTTTCTTTGGATTAATAGTCTGCAAATATTTTCTCCAGTTCTTTAGATTGTCTCTTCCCTTTGCTGATTGTGAGGTATGAATATTTTAAGTAACTTCTTTGGGCTGAAATGGTTAGTAGTTGGCACAAACAGAACTTGAATGCGTCTGCCTTCAAGGCCATATTCTTTTCTGTACCCACAGTCTCTGTTAAAGGGGGATAGATTCAATAATAATGCAACTGAAATTCCCTAGCTGCAAAATTCCCTAGAGAAATTAGTAATAAGTGCACTTTAACACTGTGTAATGTTTTTCCATGCTTTTCTCACTCTTAATTCTTAGATGTAAATTTAAACCTTATGCTTTTCCCCTCAACTGCTCAGTTGGCACTTCTACAGATGAGTTAAAATTTCAGAGTGAGCTGTCAAAAGCATACTGTCATTAACTTCCAGCTCTGTTATTAAAAAGGTACTGATTATGAAAGAGAGATGGGAATTTTCTGTGATTTTTCCATGACAGCCTTTCTGAGTTTCTCAAAAATAATAATCTAATATTTGATAGTGAAATCAGACAAAATACTTCCCAAAGTACTTTTATGTGAATCAGATTCACAATCTGTATAGTGGGAAATTAACTGTTAAGATTCAGAATTGTGTTGACCAATGAATGTGCACCAAATGATTTATTATGTTAATTATACCTGAGTTTATTCTTTATACAGTTGTTGAGGCAGAAAGAAAAAAAGACTAAGTCGGAGGTTATTAGTGTGGCCTATGAAGGTCTTTGGTAGATACACAGAGAAATACAAGAGGATGCATGAAGCCCAGTGTATTAAAAGTTAATACAAGATTAATAGTGAAGACCAAGGGCCCCTCATTTTTGTAGGGAAGGGAAAAAAAGCCTGGGGAAACATGTAGAGTCCAGAAAAAAGGTCAAGATAAAAATAACATTGTGCTTGCATTAAGGAATAATTCAAGTCATAAGGAAAAAAAATATTACTGTGAAGGAAACGCACCTTGCCCAGGGATCCCTTTTGCTTCCCTGAACAAAGCATTCTGTGTCTTTAATGAGATTTACTGTGCCAGTTAAAAAGTATAGAATTCTTTTATGGGGAGGAATTATGGCCTTCTCTACAGTTCTGTGATGCTATACGTGTTTTAACTCTCTTGTAGCATTCTATAGCAGCATAAAGCACAAAGGTGATATGTTAGCTCTGAGTATTATAGATTGTGTGATTTTAATGACCCTAATGATCTAAATTCACATCTCTCAGAAAAAGGCCTATAGAGTGTGAGGCTTAATCTCCCCAGGATTTGGTGAGATAGGAAGGTACAAGGGCATTTCTTAACTTGAAATGATTTCAGAATGGAACAAGTTTCATAAAAGGTTCAGCTACCATAGAAGAATTTAAAAAAATGGGTCTTGAACAAGGAGGAGGCTGTATTTGAAGGAGACAGTGGAAACTGTTCGCGTAGGTGTGAACACTTCTTATAAATATATAACATATGACCCTTTAGGGAGAGAAGCAGATGGAATATGTAGCAGAAGATATAAAGTACACATTTTTTCTTGGTTTCTTCACTCCAGTGGTACAGTGTATATTTTGATATTTGGCAGTTCTATTTGGAAGCTTTCAAGGCCTCATCTGGATTCCAGCAGTTCAGGGCAATGCTGACATTGTTAAGAGTTCTAGGTAGAAGCAGGCTGTTGAATTTGCTTGCAAAGCTTCTCCAAGTGATGACATAATGTCTAAATATCCCAGCCATGATTCCGTGTCAAATCTTTGATGAGTGCCCAGCTTCAAGGAATCCAATACCAAGGATCCAGATTCATGCAATCATTGCACAGTCAGAGTAAGACAGTGTTGCTGAAACTGTGGGGTCCATCTTTGATGACATCAATTCTGAATCTGCTGTCCCAGGTCCTATTAAGGGAAAGTGCTCCATTTTGCTAAATTAAAAACAGAAAAGTGTCAGAGAAATACCATTTCCTCTTAGCTGCAGGAGACATTACAGAAGTAATTAAACTGGATTTTGGTGTGTCAGGCACATTTCTTTTATTGACAGTGACAGTAATTCTGTAAATCAAAACCTGGAAGCATTTTCAGTGTGTTGAAGTGCTAAAGATAAAACCTAAGGATTTTAAAATTAAATCTCATTAAACTAAAATTGATCTATAGAGTGCAGTATGAGAGGCTGCTGCCTGAGTTCTAAATGCAACCTCTCTTTTGACATTCAGTGCCTACGGTATCTGAGTCCCTGAAAGCTATGGCCATGTAAAGCCAAATGGAGTAGGTCTTCAGTATTATCTCTCATTTATGGTTTTGAGGTCTCCAGGAAAATTCTCTCTCCACTATCTCAATATTTCCTTTTCTAATGTTGTCAGTAGGTTTTGTTAACATGCAGTTTTTCTGGCATTCTTTTATTCTTTCCACATTTAAGTTCCTCCACAATCTTATGCGACAACTCTACAGCATGCTTTGTTCTTCACATGCTCTGGCATCAACTCTTTGATTCAGAGAAGTATAGAGACACACTGGTGTAGTCAATACCTTTTCTTTATGCCTTCATCCCTGCTAAATGATGCCCTCATTTGGGCTGTCCTCTTCCTTCCCTCCTTCCGCTCTGCCTAAGAAAATTCAGCCTGTGGAGATGATCCAGCTCACATCAAGTTCATCCAGAGTAGTGCAGTCTTTGATTACTTGATGGTTCTTCTGCTTCTGAACCCAAATATTTACTGTCTAGAGTTGTCTTTTTATGTGTATAAGTCTTTATTTCTCATCTGTAGTTTATTATCTCATTCTTCTGTTTTTGGTATTATTTCTCATAACACTTATTAAATGCTCAGTAATATTTGAAGATTGGTGTCTTGGAGGATCCGTTAATTAACTGTGTGTGTGTGTGTGTGTGTGTGTGTGTGTGTGTGTGTGATCTTTGCCCATTTCTACAGCTCTTTTAAGAAAATATGTACATGTCACATCACATCTGGCAGGAGTAATTTATTATGCTTTATCACATTAATGAAAATGCATTTTTCAATATCTTTATTCCGTAACTAGGAACAAAATGCTTTGAGTAAAGGTTCTGTGTGTGTATCTAGGAAAAGTTTGTATGTGAGTGTGTATGTGTATATGTTCATGGGCACGTATACATATCATGGGAGATGATGGATTTAGCAAACATTTTCTATTTTCTTCACATTCCATTGCAGCAGCCCTGATTTGTATATTATCATATTAATTATTTTTATTTATTTATTTATTTACTTCGAGATGGATTCTCACTCTGTCACCCTTGCTGGAGTGCAGTGGCATGATTTTGGCTCACCACAACCTCTGCCTCCCAGGTTCAAGCGATTCTCGTGCCTCAGCCTCCCAAGGAGCTGAGATTACAGGCATGCGCCACTACGCCCCACTGCTTTTTGTATTTTTAGGAGAGATGGGGTTTCACCATGTTGCCCAGGCTGGTCTTGAACTCCTGACCTCAAGTGATCTGCCCACCTCGGCCTCAAAGTGCTGGGATTACAGGCGTGAGCCACCTCACCTGGCCTGTATATTATCATATTAATTTTGACAACTGCTAGGATATTTTGTCATTTCAAGATAACTATTTTTTGGTCACTTTACTTTTTTCCCACTGATTAGCTGATACTACGGGAATCATCAGATCATTGTGAAATGCTACAATACTTATTTGATCTTTTTTATGTAAGCTTTAAGATTTGACACTCTTGAAGTATTTTTCCAGCAATAACATAAGCTCTCTGGAGATAATAATCCCATTTCTCTTACAGTAGTAGCATATCACTTCTGTGCTCTGCTTTAGTCCTCCAGTGTCCCTGAAGAATTCTCTATGTGTTCCCTTTGCAGAAGCCACAGGAGACCCAAATGTCCATTTGATGTGGTATAGTTGGAATTGAAAATGTTCTTGGTGATTTTTCTTTCCGTATTAATTATGCAAAAGATAGCATTTATATATGCAACCGTACCAAGAACAAGAGACTTAGTTTGCGTGATTGTTTTGGTTCAATATTTTAGTAGAATATACCTGAAATCAGCTTAATAGGTGATGAGTATAGTGACAACATCAGAAACAGAACAAATTGGTTGTTGGAGGAGTTGAGAAAAAAAGTTTAAATAATAAGTTCCAAGAATACTAGAATTTGTCTACCTGAATCAAAAAGAAGGTAATTAGACTAATAATAGATAGTTTGACTAGATTAGTCATTCCCAAACGGTGGTACCTGGATCAGCATTGTCAACATTGCCTGTGAATCTGTCAGAAATACATATTCTTAGATCTCACCCCAGACCTCCTGAACCGGGAACTCTGGGAGGTAGTGCTCTGAAATCTATGTTTTAGGAGCCTCCATATGATTCTAATATACCCTTACATTGAAGGACTATTAGACTATTAGATTATCTTTAAAGTCCTTTCTTTAGTTCTTTGCTTTCCAGATAATGAAAGACTTTAATAGAATGAAAGTTGTTCCCAAAGAAATTTTGTAAATAGAACATCATGGCAACATTTATGAGAGGGTTTTAATACTATCTTGGATATTTAATATATGGTGATTTGAAAAGAATACAAAATTTCATTTTGATTATCAGCCTCTCCCATTGGCTGGCAATATTGAAAATGTTTGAAAAGTTCCTGTTCTCATTATTCATGCTATTCAAGGCAAAATTTTCCCTCCAGTGTGAGGAGAATGACCAAATCCAAGTGTACATTTCTCTATTACTATTCTTTTGTGTTCTTTGAAATAATAGCCTGATAATTTATATAGATTGAGAATTAAAGTTTCATCCTTGTCTGTAAAGAGATTTAAACCCACAAAAAACTTGAATCAACAGAACCACTGTCAAAATTGCCATTTATATTAGGTACATATTCTTCACATGACATTCTTTTTCGTTGCCTAAAACATTCCCCATGTTTGTATATTCTTACCACTTGCTAAACAAATTGATTCCAGTTTACCAGCAATTCCAAACACAGTTTCCCATCTGGTTAGCAGCCCATATCTAGTAAGATCTTCATATTTATTTCTTTTTAAATCACATAGGATTTACATGCAAAGATTCTTCGGCTGTAATCCCAGTATGTGGCCTTGAGCAAGTCACTTCAGCTGTGTGGGCCCCAGTTTCCTCATTATAAAATGAGGGATTTGGTTTGCCTTGTCTTTAAGGTCTGTAGAGCTAAGAGTCCGTGATTCATTGTCACTATATTCTTTCTCTTCTTTTTCCTCAACCCTCAGACCTATTTTTACTTATGTTTAAGGCTCTTCTAGGATGCAGCCTACAGCTCAGCCACAGTACACGAATCTTAAGCTGTATTTTAGCCAAAGACCTTTCCTGCCAATTCCTATAAAAAGGAAGAACTTGGAAAAAGAAATCTGATTAATGGGATGTCTTCCTCTTTTCAGCAAGGAAACTTTGAATTAATCCTGAGACACAGGGCAAAGACTTCACCTATTCTTTTTCTTTCATGTTTATGTAGCTATTTATTTATAACTTCTTTCAGATATCTACTTACATCAACTTTAAGTTGAAATATTTTGCGAATGCAGAGATCATGCCTGTGTACTTGCTTAGCTAAATGCTGGTGTAATTATTACTGGTATGTAAATAAATGCTTTTTCATAATTAAAAAACAGTAATATAATTGTGTATGTGTAAGTGTTAATATAGGCAGGAATACTACTACTAACTAAACATCAGCAATAAACTAGGATTTGATATGTTAAATATATTTCTTCTCATAACATTCTTGCATAATAAAAATTGTGACATCAATTTTACAAAAACTGTACTTAAGATGTATGCCTGTGTTCTCATGTTAATAAGAATTAGAACTCATTTCAAATTCCATTTTCTGCCATCCACAGATCGTGTTATGAAATATCTCAGTATTGAATAAAATAGCTAAGTTGAGAAGAGTTATCTGCATTCTTCTCTTTCAAATGTTTTAAAATGTATACAAGGTAGATTAATATATGTAGATTTATTTAACATAAGAAATTGCAAAAATGAGGAAGAACCGATGCAGAGCAAGGTGAGTACTATTTTCCCTTCTAAATTGCTCATCTGCAGGTCTGCCTCCTGTACATGTTAATACATGTGACTAACAACCTAATGAAGCTTTAGAAGAGCTATACCTTCAAAAAGAATAGCTTTGTATACCTCGTTCAGTGAATGAGCAGACTTTAAAAATGATGGTTTTGTGAAGTAGAAAATGGAGCATTTCAAATAACCAGGAAAACATTTATACTTTTTATTTCAGATAGTGCACATTCAAAATGTTGTTGAACAAAATATTGTGAAGTAGGCCAGGCGTGGTGACTCACGCCTGTAATACCAGCACTTTAGGAGGCCAAACTGGGCAGATCGCTTGAGCCTGGGAGTTCCAGACCAGCCTGGTCAACATGGCAAAGCCCTGTCTCTACAAAAAATGCAAAAATATTAGCTGGGTGTGGTGGCATGCACCTGTAGTCCCAGCTACCTAGGAGGCTGAAGTAGAAGGATCCCTTGAATCCGAGAGGCGGAGGTTGCAGTGAGTGATGATGCCACTGCACTCAACAGAGGGAGACCTTGACTCAAACGACAACAAAATATTGTGAAATTTTAAGCATGTGACTTCTCCTAGTTAGCAGGTTTCTAGTCAATTGTTTCGGAGTGTAAAGGAAAAAAGATATTTGCTAGTGAAAGTAACTTTTCATGAGGTTATCTCTCCTGCCTATAATTTCTACACTTGTGAAAAGATATTTTTTGTGCTAAAAGCTGCTATGATTAAATTTTAGTGAATTCTGTCTCTCTGGCTGATACCTGCACTGTGTGTGACTTTAATACCTCTGCTTCTGGCCTAAAACGCAGTTGGAGGAAAGTGAGAAACAGCGTGAAAGCATCGTTTCACTTTCCAAGGATAACTTATGAGAAAAGAGAAAGGCCTTGTGTGTAGTTCCACTCTGTATATTAGGAACATATCTACATGGTAAATTACCTTACTGAGACTATTATTAATTGAGCAGTTACTATGTGCAAAACATAATGAGAAATACAGAAAGTGGAGTGATTGGGTCCCTGCCTCAAAGAAGTCTTCATTTTAGTTGGGGAAATTATTTCCAAGACCCAGGATAGAAGGGATTTTTTTTTTTTTTCTGTTTTGCTCCATGACCTATCACAAGTGCTTCCAACCATGCCTGGTGTTTAATATATACTCAGTATATATTTATGGAATGAAGTAAATATACTGTTAATAAGATAACTAACAATTTAAGTGCTCATTGTGTGCTGCAAACCATTGCCGTGTGCATTCAGAAGAGAGGAAAGGCACAATTGTGTGCTGGCTAAGTAGAAATGAGCGTTGGAAGTGAGATGGACCTTAATTGGGAAGACAGAAGCAGGAAGAGCATTTCACACAAGGGAGATACTGTGAGCAAAGGTGAATTTATATATAAAGTGATCACAGAGCAAGACACATCCCTTGAGCACCTTCTATAACAATAGGTACTTTGCTACACTCTATATTTACAGAAGTAAACAGATGAGGCTTCAGGTGCAGTAGAAAAAACAGACTTTGGAGACAAATAGATCCAGAATTGCATTCTGACTGCCACATGGCATCTGTGTGGCCATAGACAAGTTGATTAACATATCTGAGAGTCAGCTTCTTCATCTGTAAAATGGAAACACAATTACAGATCTTGCAGGGTTGATTTGAGAATTAAAGATGATGTATGGTAACATCCTCCCTGTACCCCAAAACTAGTAGGAATTATATAATTGGTAGCTATTGAGATACTGCCTTTGCCTTTGCTTTCAAGGAGCTCATACACAAGAGGAAATGCCTGACATGTACAGATCATTATGGGACAATTTATGAAGTAATTTAATACCTTGCTTTTCAAAATGTAGTGACATATACCCATGTAACAAACCTGCACATGCACTCCCATATTTAAAATAAAAGTTGAAATTTAATGTGGTCAGAGGACCAGGAGCATCAGCAGCACCTGCAAGCTTACTAAAGATGCAAACTCACAGACCTTCCCTCCCCCACACACCTACTGACTCTGAATATGCTTTTAACAAGATCCCAGATGATTCATATGCACATGGAAGTGTAAGAAGCACTGCTCTAATAGAAGCATGTAAAAAGGGCAGAGGAAGGAGTGACTAAGTCGACTTAAGGAAATGAGGGAAGACTTCTCTTAGAAAGTGATATTTGGAAAAATTCAGAAAGAAATAATGTCGTCTTTTGGATTAACTTGTTTAGTAAATGAGAATATCCAATTAGAAAAATTCTGTATGGATTCACTTTCTTGACTTCACCATTTTTACATTACTTTTACTTTTTGGTAATCTCCACTGGTTTAGCAGGCTAAATGCATGCCAAGGCAACAGTTTTATACAAGTGAAGACAATTCCTGCATTCCTGCGTCTATGCATTAGAAATAATATGCTCTAAAATCAAAGATTTATTGTGAATTTGACCATAAAAGGTCTGAATTCACCAGTCAATTTGGGATGCAGATATTTCATTAGATGATCTAGTTTAACCAGGAAGATCTTGGCAAACTCTGCTTCGTTCTGGGCCAGTAATAATGTGAGAGTCAGTCATTTGGCGTTCATGAAAAAATAAATATCCAGCTTTCCATAGGCTGTTCCTGAAGGTCTCTTTGGTTTAACATAGTTCTTTCTTTTATTTATTTATTTTATTTTATTTTGTATATTTTAGTGTTAGAATTGCTCTATTTTATGTGGAGCCACGTGCTTCTGTTCAGTGAGTCGGCAGGTGGCTCCAATCCTGTAATTATGATCTGGATTGTCGGCTGCCAAAGCACAAAAGGAAACGGTAATAATCCACTCCGGTGCTCTTTAGTGAATTGTTGCATATGCTTTTTAGTGTATCACTGCACATAAGTATCACAGTAGCAATGAAACTATTAGGGTAATAAAAGATATGCATTTTAGTTTAGTAAAAAGTGTCATAAAATTCAATTAACTACACTTTCCCAAATAGCAGTTCACTCTGGGAAGCTCAGGGTTTCCTAATCTGAAATTACATGTTCCTTTCACGTTTCCTAGTGACCACCACTAATGCTTTAATCATTACACCTACTCCTCATTGTGCAACATTATCATCTCCGAGGGCCCCTTTGTTTCCTTATCTTTTTGCACGTTTTTTTCCTGCTTTTCTACTTGTAGCTTTGTAGAAGCAGTTACAATACAATGGAGTCAGGTTTGGTTTTGCCGTTCTATTCTTTAATTGGAGGGAGAAAGTGAGATGAATAGCATAAGCAATCCACATAAAGTTAGGCATTATAATTACCCAGAAATTGAGGAAAATGTTCTTTGGTGGTGTATCCACAGCTAATGAGGAAAGAACAGAGTTTTTATTTATTAGACGACCAGAGAATCTGACTAACCCCTGCTTTGCTAATCTATAAAAGTGAACATTCATTCTATATTTTTAGATTTTTCACCTTCCCCTCAAAAGTAGCTTAATAGCACGGAGTAGAGAAAGGTCTCCTGGTGTTCAAATTTTATTACTTTCACTGACTAAAGTGCAGTACATTTCCTAGTATAATTACACCCCAGTTGTCACAATAAATGAACACAGTATATTTTACGATACACTTTACTTGCTTATTATCATGTTTGTTCACACATCTCTCAGACTTAATAACCCATGGGGGGCTTCTGCCATCATTGGTGAATGGAAATTAGTGAAGTTCTCTATTTCATTTGTGGTGAGATTTTTATTTCAACTGAAGAAGCCATAAGCAGGATAGATAGTACATTTAGGGAATTAGGTATATATATATATATATATATATATATATATATATATATATAACGTTCCCCTGCTTACTATGTGATTTTTAAAAATCTAGGAATCTCCCAGCACTCACACAGGTGAATATTAGCTAAATGCATTTTTAATAGAAACCAAGTGAGATTTCTGATTATTTCTAAAAATAAAAACAAAGAAAATCCTGGATGTAAACAGAGCTATCTTTTGAAATATATATATATGTATATATATATGAATTTGATTTCAGATCGACCTTTTCTGGGACAGAATTCCTTTTTTTTTTTTTTTTTTTTTTTTTTGAGACAGAGTCTCACTCTGTCACCCAGGCTGGAGAGCAGTGTCACAATCTGAGCTCACTGCAACCTCTGCCTCCCAGGTTCAAGCAGTTCTTGTGCCTCAGCCTCCCAAGTAGCTGGAATTACAGGTGTGTGCCACCACACCTGGCTAATTTATGTATTTTTATTAATAGTACAGATGGGGTTTCACCATGTTGGCCAGGCTGATCTCGAAATTCTGACCTCCAGTGATCTGCCCACCTTGGCCTCCCAAAGTGCTGAGATTACAGGCATGAGCCACCATGCCCAGACAGCATTGCTTTTTAAATCTGTGGAAGGGCCAGAAAAAATGTCAAAATTTATATTTAGTTTGATTAGTTTGGGGTCAAAGTATCAGAATGCAATCTGATATTTGAGGGATTTTCCATTCTACTCACTACATGACAGTTGCAGTCATTATTAGAGAGATCTAAAATGTAGCAATATGGTAAAGAGATAATTTTATTTAACAAGAAGATAAAGGATTGCATTACCTGAATTGCATGGTATTATAATACATTTTTGTAAATATGCAGGGCACTTTCCCTCAAATCAGACAAGGCACAATTACTTGGGCTTGGCCATTGAATAAGTACTTAACATCTAAATTTGTTGGCAGGTTTAAATCATTTTTGTCTAATTATAAAAATAATGCATATTTGTATAACAATTAAAATATAGAACAAGTAGAAGACAAAATAAAATCACCTATGATTTCACAGTTAGGTGTCTCCCCTTTTAAAGGAGGATTTCAATTCAACAGCCAAAAAGTATTACTCAGTATTTGCTATGGGTTTAGGATTATGTTAAGTATTGAGAACAAAGAAGAGTAAAGGAAGGAAGGAACAAAGAAAAAGAGGGAGGGAGGGAGGAAGGAAGGAAGGAGGAAAGAAGGAAGGAAGGAAAGAAGGAGGGAAGGAAGGGAGGGAAGGAAGGAAGGGAGGGAGGGAGGAAGACGGGGAAGGAGGGAGGGAAGGAAGGGAGGCAGGAAGGGAGGGAGGAACAGGGGAAAGGATGGAAGGAAGGAAGGAGGAAAGGAAGGAGGGAAGGAAGGAAGGGGCAAGCAGGGGGAGATAGGAAAGGAAGGAAGGAGTGAAAAGAGGGAGGGAGGAAGGGACTGGGGGAAGGAGGGAAGGAAGTAAGGAGTTAACTTTACTATGTAGATATAAAATAAAAGCCAGACATAGTGACCAAGGGTCATTGCATAGGATTGTACAATTTATATATTACAAAAATGTAAAAGGCACCATCCACCTCAACTAGTTGCACCATTATTTTGATACGGTTTTCTGCAACTATGTGTCTTGATGAAGGCACACCTTTCTTTTTTTTTTCTTTTTTTTCCAGTTCACACAAAGTTACCTTATGTGCTTTAGTGAGCAATATGAGTTGGTGTATAATCAAGAATAATATGATACAATACAGTATAAATATCTTAGGCTTTATGAGTGAGGGATAACTTAAACCAGGCCTTGCAGTTTATGAATTTTTTAATGTCTATTTAAAAAGATAAAGAAATTGAGAATGTCAATACCATGTTTCAGGACCTATCTTTTAGAAAAGCAATGGAGAGGAGGAATGGACAAAGAGTAGGGGATGTCCCTAGTCCTGAGGGGCCTTCTCCTGAGAAAATCTCCTCTTTCCAATCCCTAGGTAGAAATATTGCCACAGGTGTCCTTGCCCTAACATACCCTATTTTTCTGTCATACCGTTTGCTCATTTGCTGTGAAAGTCCTTTCATATGTCATTGCTTAAGGTTGACAATTATACCCATCCACCTACATTGTGGCAATTATTTCCTCGTGCAGAGTATAGGGATAAGTGAAATTCCCATGTATCCTAATACACTAAGGATACAAAGATAAGCAAACAAGAAGTCCTTGTTCTTCCCCTCATGGAGTTTGTAGTCTTGCTGAGGTGAGTGGTTCACAAATTGGGAGGATAATAAAGGCGGATCTCAGATTTTTCAGAGCTCAGAATTTCATTTAGTTGCCTTTTGAGATTGGACACAGCCTCCTTGTAAATTGTTTTTCTTTGACTGCAATGATTCATTCCCTTTGTGATCCAAGAGTTATGTGGATAAAAGCTATTGACTATCTACATTTGTTAGGTATATGCACTGAGAGATTCACGTACTTCCTCTAGTTGAAAAACTTTACTTCTTTGCGACTGCCTTCCTTACAACTGTTCCAGGATTTTGAGCAAAATATATGGAATTTATTTTCCTTCCTGATACTCTTTATCTCTCCTGATGCAGTGGTTGTTTTGGTTATGTGGGGTATTGCGGGCCATCCAGCAGGACTCTTTTAGGACAGCACATGAATAAACCCTTTTATGGAAACTAAAAGGAAAAGAACTTAGTGGGGTAAAATGTGGAATGCTTCCAGAGGCAAAGTCTGCTTTTATTATGGCAGCAGGAACAAGTTACGGGCACAGTGCTTCCTGCATGCCAGTTATTTTGGTGTTAAATTATAAATGCTGAGATGAGGGTCAGGCACTTGCCTGAGTGTTAAATTTAAGGGGGAACCAAAAAGCTCAGTAATCAAGATAAATTATATTTTACTGCAATATTTGAAAAAAACAATCTGAATAATGCAAAAATATATGATGAACAAAATGTGAAAAATTTAAATAAAGACAGCATCAATATTATTGAATTTCCCTTTTGCCTCAGGCTCCAGTACAGCTCAGGATACCACTGTTATTGATCTTGTCTTTATTTAAAATTTTGATATGTTATTCATCATGAACAACTTTTTATTTTTAAAATATTAATTTTGATTTTTAAGGTATTGATTTAAAATGTTATTTATCTTACTCACTGACTTTTTGGTGTCCTCTTAAATATTGCCCCTGAGCCAGTGCCTCAAACTAGTCCTGGCCAATACCTACTTTAAAAAGGTCCGATAGGCAGACACGTAATTCGAGTAGAGGCAGCGCTGCTTCTTGAAGTTGGCTTGATTCATTATTAATGCATAAATCCTATGACTCATCTGCAGGACTGTAAATCCAAAGACAAGTAAACAATATTGAGTATATGACGCCATTATGGGTTCTGTGGGTGCTGTAATTTACTGAGGTTATTCAGCTTCCAAGAGGCTAATCACAACCAGGGAGTTAATTGCATCCCCTTGCATTTCAGAAAATTAAAGTCAGGCAGCTCTGTCCCACACTGTTTTCTATGAAATCTTATTACTTTTATGTATATTTATTTTTTCCTGTGACAGAGAATGGATACCCCAAGGCTAAAATTAAATGTCTTTGACTACACTTTTAGCTATCTAAGACTAAAGATTTTTATCAGAGAAGAATGAAAGAATCATTGCATGCCTTGATTGTGCTGTCATTGGACGGAAATTTATAAAGCACACTTAAAGTCACAAAAGCAGTGAAGGAGGAAGTGAAAAATCCTTGATGAACAGGTTGTGGTTAGCAGTAGTTTTCTCCTCAAAAGCAGTCCATCTATAATACCAAGAATTCAAATCAAATTTTATGTTTAATTCTTCCTTTTATGCCCCAGGTACATTTTTGTAATTAAACAGTCAAATATTTAAGTTATTTTTAAATTTCCAAATGGCAATCTATAAGACAGAAAAAAATCCCCACAGACAACAGAGGACAGATTTTATAAAGTGTATATTGAAAGTCTGGAAGGTTTTACATGTTTAGTCCATGAACACAAATAAGTATTGTATATATGGAACTATTTTGACTGTGAATAGCTGCAGTTTGAAGACCTTCTTTAAGTTCTGTAATGAACCAAACAGTGGCATGGATCATTCACTGGTCATTCTAAAGGATCCCCAAGCCTCTCCTTCTATAAAATAAAAGCTGAGGTTCAGAGATTTTCAAATGCTTAGGCCCAGATCACATACTGATTTAGAGGCACATTGCAAACTAGGACCCTGGAATTCTAATTCTCAGTGAAGTTCCCTTTCTACTCGGTAACATGACATCACTTAGTTACCAGTGCTCCACCCCTCAGACTAACAAACAGATAATAAGAACATGAGCTGCTAGCTGTCCTCATACAAACTCACAAATGACCCATTTCTGGCCTCACACTTTCTATACGACTGAAGGCCAAGGCCGTACTTGAAGACAAAGCTAAAAGCAATAAGAAGAAAATTCTCCTATATTCACACCATCTCCACTTTCTTCTTCATATACTGTATTTTGGAACTGTGCTTACTGTCTTATCCTGCTTATCTATTCAAGTACTTAGTCTTTCTGTTATTTCTCTCCCCCCCTTGAATTGTCAATATTATTTAATGGATTGTACTAATCTTACAAACAAATAAACCAAACATTGCTTCTCTTGACCTAACCTTAAACATCTACCTCATGCGCTTTTTCTTGGTTTTCCTTCACAGCCAAGCTCTGTGAAAGTTTTCAATTATGAATAAAACCTAATGTCAATTAGTCACCCACGTTCACTATTCAACCCACTCCAATCTGGCTCCCGTGAAAGCATGTAGCCAAAACTCCTATTGCAAAGAACACCAATCATCTTCACATTGTCAAATTCATTAAATATTTTTCAGATATCATCCTACTCATTATCTAATCATCCTACTCAATACTTAATCAATTTCAAAACAAGGCACTAAACACACATGGTTGTCCTCCTTCCTCTGTGACTTCTTCCAAGGTGTCCACCAACTCTGCTGCTCTACCTGTCTCCTAAATGTTGATGTTTCACAGGACATGATTCCAGAAGTCTCCTCACTTAATATCCCTCGTCCAACTAATCTCATCCATTCTCATGCCCTTAAATACTATCATTATGCCAGTAACTCTGATATTTCTGTCATTAGCCCAGACATGTCATATTCAGATTTTTGCATGCAAAATTGTACTTAACATTTTCAGTTGTATATCTCACAGGTATCTCAACCTTTATGTGTTCTAAATTGAAGTCCTGGTACTTCCCTCCTCACTCTCCACATTTCTCCCTCCTTCATCTTCTCCCTTTTTAGAAAATGGTGCCTCAGTTTATCTGGTTGGATAATCTGAATAACTTGAAACTTCAGCAATAGGTGTATAGGTGTGCACTTAATTAAAAAGTTACAACAAAGGAAATTTAAGGATATGTGTGGCATCTAATTCTTCTTTTATTTCAAGTGTTTAAAGTATGGATTTTGTAATATTTCATATATATAGACCTTAGAAATAATAATGATAGGCAACATGTAGGACCACTATGTGCTAGGCATGGTGCTAATATTTTACAGGCACTAGTATTATCCTAACAGATGATAAATCCAAGGCACACAAAGGTCAAGAAACTTGCCCAGGATCATAGAGCTATTAAGTAGCAGAGCTGAGATTTGAGCCCATGAAGTCTCATTCTTGGGTACTTGTTCATAACAATTATGTTCACTATAGAAAGTATGCAGTATAGCCACAGTGATGGACATATGTTAAGACAGTGTACTGAAGGCTGACTAGAGAGACTTCACTGGAAGGAACTACCAGTGGATGCTGATCCAACTCTGTAAACATATAACAGTGCTTGGAAAGAGCTGATGGTTTATCATATCATCCCATGATTCTTTCCAAGATTTTTGACAATACAGAATTGAATAGTAGGTGTATCTGCCTTATGGGCAGGAAACCACCAAATCAGATGCTGATGGATGACCATTTTTTACATAAGTTTTCAGAAATTTTCAATAAAATTTTTATTTTTTCGATATTTTTAAGACCAAAATAATATCAAGCTGTTTTATGTCTATATGGCAGCATCTTCCCTGTTCCTTCCATTTATGACTACACTTAAAATAATTGATTTTCAAAATAAAAAGCCCAGAACAAGTTATACAGACGATTTGTTGTTTCTATGGAGTAGGAGTCTTGGACAAAATGCACAACCCCATTCTTTTCCTATTAGACTCTTGGGAAACACATACTGTTTTCTAACTTTCCCACCTACTGCTGGAAAGAACAAATGCCATTTATCCCAATTAAAATTATAGGGTGAATTTTAATATCATACTAAAGTAAACCTTGTTAAATGTTCCGTGTCAATGGAAAGTTGTATAATTTTTTTAAATTTTAAGACATACAAGAAATATATCTCTACTTATTCACACCCAGATCCTTCTTTTTAAATAAATTAATTTTAAAAAGAGGAAGAAGAAGTGAAATCAGAGAAGTAAAAAAGAACTAATAATCCATTTACCATGAAATAGGTAATTATATAGCCAATTTATAATTTGGGGACCCCTAAGACAAGTGGCTACATTTAAGATAAAATATCTACTTTGAATCACGGGGATTAACATTTCTTAAATTCCCTAGATTCCTTAAGTGATATCTTCAATGGTGTTCTGATGAAAAACCAAATTCAAAAATTCTGTAGAAGAAAAGGCATCAAATACAGAACAATCAGAAGTTCTAGAAATTTGATAATCTTCTCTGTATTTCAATTGCTTAAAATCTGTGTTAATGTGTCTGGCTTTTCTTTAATCGAAAAAGCTACAGAGAGTATCTATGATGAAGACTCAGAGTGAAGTGGAATCACATAAATCTATTAAAGATTCATATTTCACCTGTGTCACAATGGATGGACTTTAAACTTCTTATATCAAAAACAAATGAAAATTTTCATTTGATCAGATAGAAAATCAGGGTATGAACTTAAACATAAAGATCATGATAGCTTGAAAGTTATGTGCACCTTTTCATAAATCAAAAATATGAGCACAAAGGAAAAAATAACTCTTAGAGGAAATATAAGATTATTGTTTGTGATAATCCTAAACCACACTGGGGGAAAGAGAGGCAGCAATGCAACAAAAAAACTGAGGAAGGAGGAGTTCTTTGTTCAAACATTACTACTTCAATGAGACCTTTTCTTGCCACCTTATATAAAATTATACACCTCCTATCTTATCCTCCTTGTCCTCCTTTCCTGCCTTATTTTCTCATTTAAACTTGACATCTATCAAACCATCTATTTTAGTATTTATTTATTATTCATCTTGACTTCATAAGGGCAGAGATACAATCAGTTTGGTATAGTATTTTATCTTCTAAATAATAATAATAATAATAATAAAGACTATAGTCAGATTTGGTTTCAGAAACTAGATCCGTCAGGTTTGAAACATTAAGTGGTTGTACATACTCTCGGCATCCCATCTCCAAACTTAAGTCCAGCTCTAAGAATCTCTTTGGAGATTCTGGACCCTATGTCATCTGGAACCAGACTCTCTCTTTACTCCTTTTTCCTTCCCCCTTTCTAATCAGCCTATCTCCTCATGCCCAGTGTATGCCATACTAGTCCCTGCCTTGCTGTCATTGCTCATATTGAAATCCTCACTGGAATATCCTGCTATCCTTGCTTCCAACGGAACAAATCCTGACAACTCTTGAGGATGAGTTGAAGTGTCCGTAAATCTTTCCCTTTTTCCTCTAGTCATAAATGATCCAGTGTGGGCTTTGGACTCTTTGGGTGGAGATTGAAATCCATGCTCTGCTAATTTACTAGCTCTGATACCTTTTATAAAGTGCCTAATGTAGATTTTTAGTCTGCATATTTTGAGTAATTCTTTTAATCTGTAACATGAAGATAAATCTATTATGGAAAAGGCCTAGCACATAATGACCTTTCAGTAATCTTTCTTTTCTTTTTTTTTTTTTTGAGACAGAGTCTCACTCTGTTGCCCAGGCTGGAGTGCAGTGGCACAATTTCGGTTCACTGCAAGCTCTGCCTCCCAGGTTCACGCCATTCTCCTGCCTCAGCCTCCCGAGTAGCTGGGACTACAGGTACCCGCCACCACGCCCGACTAATTTTTTGTATTTTTATTTTTTTTTTAGTAGAGATGGGTTTTCACCGTGTTAGCCAGGATGGTCTCAATCTCCTGACCTCGTGATCCACCCGCCTCGGCCTCCCAGGGTGCTGGGATTACAGGCGTGAGCCACCGCGCCCGGCCTTTTTTAGAACTTTCTAGGAATCTGTTTTTCCAATTGCTTTGTATATCAGGCTCTCTGCGTCTGTCAGAACTGCTACTGCATGTATAACACTGTCTTTAATGTTCACTTTTGTGTTCAGATATTTGTATATTCAGTTTTGTTGACTGTAGTTTTCCTTAAGGGTTTTCTTAAAGCAATGACTATTTATTATGTTTCTCTATGTTCTAAAACTTAGTGCACTGTTGTCTACCTTATGCTTACTGTATGTGACAACTTTTCAGGGGCAACCAGAAAGATTCAAAGACAAAACATCTACTAAACATACTACCCAGCAACCTAGCTACAACTGCATTGCATTGCTTGTTTCCAAGCTGCAACTCTTAGTGCTGGAGGTATTGTAGTCACCATGTCTGATCTCAATCTTTTGGCAGGACAAGAGAGCCACCGATCCTACAGACACAATTTTGGCTTTTTAAAGCTAGCCATTAGAACCCACAGTGGCCCCTGCCGACTGTGAGGTACTATTTTATGTAAAGGCATATCCCTCCAATGACAGCTTACTTTGAGTAGCTGTGGCAACTTTCCATAGTGACTATAGAAATAGCAAGTCTTTTGCCAAACAAGACAATATGTGAATGACAACAGAATGCATCGTGGTCATAGGAGAAGCCACCAGAAGATCTATTTTGGAGAATATTTTCTATATTTTTCCTTACTGTTATTTTTCCTTCTTCAACATTTAGTAGAAGTTTAAAGCATATATACCAAATATGCCCCTGGGGAGAAGCATTAGACCCTTTTCTGATTATTAATAAAACATTTATTAGTCGTTTTTATTCTCCAGTAAAACTTAGGACAGGTCTATATTTGAGAATCTTTTTCATCCTATAATTTGAATCAAAAATTAAAAAACATGGAAACAATATATGACCTCAGTGAAGCATAGCACCTGCTCAAACACACTCATAATGTGAGAAAAATTGCACTTGCCAGATTGTACTGATCATTTCCAAGTTGACACAATAAAGTGACATCTGTGCTTAAGCAGTAGCCTGCCATTTTCTGTTAGCATTTTTGAGTCAGCTCAGAACAAGTCCACTCCCCCCAGTTCCAGTGCAGTCAGAAGGTTTTCCCAGGGCCTATTCCTGGACAGGCTAGAAGCAAAGATTCACTGGTTGACATTTTGCTTTGGCTGTCTACAGTGAATCATGTAAGATAAATCCCACTCCTAGTTTTCTCCATCTGGGGCTGTATATCCACATGCAAATCAGGCAAATTGAAACACAAAAACTCAGGGTTCTTGTACACTCAGTTAACTTCTAACCATGCCTGGAGAAGAGTTTTTGATCCTACTGGAAGTCAGAAAGGAGAAGGCTGTGCTATACTCAGTTAACTCCTGGCCATGACCTGGGAAAATTTTTTTGATTCTACTAGAAGTCAGGTTTTGGGGCAGTAGGAAAATAGAGCCCCAGGTGGAAGAACAGGAAATTTATTTTTGGTGTTTCTGGCTGTAGAACTTAGAACATGCCACAGTGAGTCTGCTGTGAAGTGATAACTGAGGTTGTAGGATCCTCTTTCCTTGTTGCACTATCAGTCCCCAGGAAGATTTTTCTGCTGTTTAATTGGAAGAAATTGTGTTTTGATGATTGTTATAGAATGGACATTCACAAATGAATTTTAATAGGTTTGAGCAGTTTCTGGCTCAGAGGATGCAAAGCATTTCACCCAGACATTATCCATGGATTCTTGGTGACCAGCGTTGTATTAGTAACCAAAATGTCAGTAATTTAGAAAATCTTCCCTTTTTGTCTTTTCACACACACACACACACACACAAATGCATCCAGAACTCCCTGTATCATGAAGTAGTTAGTAGGAACTGACTAGCATAATTTCAAGATCAGAGACAAGAGTTTGCCTCCACCTTTTCCTTCCTTCTCTTCTCCCCACAGCCTCACCCCCTCAACACATGATATCAACAAACACACTGAACACAGAAGCATGTAATACTGCTACAATTTATTCACTGACACTGAAATTATTTTCACAGAAAGCAAAATCTTTTCTTGACTAACAAAAACAGATACGGCTTTAGGTGAAAATAACACTGGGACTTGCGTTAGAACATTTATTTGGAAGATATAAATGACACGAGATCCTTCCCTGATTGAGAACATGGGGGAAAGGCTCCTATAAGGTTATTGGCAGTAGAGGTAGGTAGAGAGTAGAAAAATCTTGGTGCCAAGAGGACAAATGGGCACAAAAGTTTTACTTGGGATTTTGTGGATATGTTGAATGCTTAAATATTGATTTGAGCAGGTCTAGTGTGTATTTATACTGCTTACTTATGTCTTTAGCAAGGAATACTTCACTTAACTAGGTTTTCCTGTAATAAGTCATTTTGTAAAAATAAAATAGCCTTTTATATTCACGTATGAGCTTGAAAGTAGGTGTGCTTGTGTGGTTTCCCAGAATGGATTTGGAAAATGAAAGACTGTTTCTAGCAGCATATTGTCAAGCAGTTTTTACCAGAGGTTTCCTACCTGCAGTAAATAATTTGCCTAGTAAAGAGGCTACAGTTTGGATACTGTAGAAGGTAATTATGATTATTATTAGGAGACAAATTACTTTGGGAGATGGAATAATCTAGTATAAGCATTCTTTATCCTAGTTTTGAGATACCATTGAGTATCTCCAGACATCACAAAGGGTATTGCAAGACTCCCTCAGCAAAATTAATTTTACTTTGTCCTACATTTTGAAATATATGCTATTCAGCACTATTAAAAGAAACAGAATCCCTTCTAGCCAAAATATGATGAGCATTGCTGAAAGATGGAAGAATATACCAGGTGAAGTACAAAATGTTGATTCCATGACTGGTTCTGCTACTCATCTCCTTGTTCTGAAAAGTCACACTTTCAAAAGAAAGTAATATCTGCCCTGAAACCTATCTGGGATTAGTAAAAATAAAATGGGATTTTAGTTAGAAAATATGTCTTACAACTAAAACATTTCATATCAATGTAAAATCATTTTTAAAGCAGTAAATTGTGTTAAACACTTCTTTGTATTTTTTTTTTTTTTCCTTGAGACGGAGTTTCACTCTTGTTGCCCAGGCTGGAGTGCAATAGCACTATCTCGGCCCACCACAGCCTCTGCCCATGGGTTCAAAGGGATTCTTCTGCCTCAGCTTCCCAAGTAGCTGGGATTACAGGCATGTGCCACCACGCCTGGCTAATTTTGTATTTTTAGTAGAGACGCGGTTTTTCCATGTTGGTCAGGCTGGTGTCGAACTCCCGACCTCTGGTGATCTGCCTGCCTCGGCCTCTCAAAGTGCTGGGATTACAGGCGTGAGCTACCATGCCCAGCCTTGTGTTAAACACTTCTATATTAAATAGTAGGGGAGCTGGTTACCAGGAAGAACAATAGATTAAATTGTAATCTAGACTTCTTTTTCAAAATTTTCTTTTTCTTTAGATTTTTCTTTTTTAAACTTGGATAAGTGATTAAAAATTTCTGGGCTTATGTTAGTTATATGTAAAATAAAGGAGTTTGACTACATGATATTTTCTATTTTTATAACTTTTATTTTAGTTTAGGGGTACATGTGGAGGTTACCTATATAGGTAAATTGTGTGTCACGGGGTTTTGGTGTACAGATTATTTTACCACCTAGGTAATAAGCATAGTAACCAACAGGTAGTTTTTCAATTCTCACCCTCCTCCTTCCCTCCACCCTCAAGAAGGCCCCAGTGTCTGTCGTTCCCTTCTTTGTGTCCATGTGTTCTCAATGTTTAGCTCCCACTTGATAGTGAGAACAGTCTGGTGATTTTTCAAATAACTCAAAGCAGAATTATCATTCAACCCAGCAATCCCATTATTGGGTATATACTCAAGGGAATCTAAATTGTTCTACCATAAAGACGCATGCCTGTGTATATTCATCACAGCACTATTCACAATAGCAAAGATGTGGAATAAACCTAAATGCCCATCAAGGGTAGACTAGATAAAGAAAATGTGGTACATATATACCATGGAATACTATGCAGACTACATAATGTTTAAGTTTCTTTACATTTTTAAAATCTTATGATTCTAGAAAGAAGAATTGAGTTTTGGAGCAGAAATTGAAGTACTTCGGGAATTCAAATATGTCATCTTTCAAAGTTTCTTGCATTTAATTATATATATTTTATAGTTTGCATAATGTATTCACATACATGTTTACATTTATTCATTATAAATGAAGCAGGGAGGGCAGGAATTATCCCCGATTTGCAGGTGACTACTTAAATGATTGTATAAGAACACAGATGGTGAGTGGCAGATGTGGAACTTGAACCCATTTCTGCAGAATCTTCTTAGTTATTCAGCATCCAACTCTCTCTGCTAAACTTAGCAACCGTGTACTTTTTTCTGTCTCTAAAATGCTTTTATATATTGTATTTTATATTGTTTCTATTTTGTACAGTATAACCCCGTAAATATACATAGTTCAATATGTTATTTGCATTTTGAAAAAAAATAGGTGCTTATATTTCTAAAGTGCAATTTGGTGTATACCATGATTTTCATTGAGTTTTGACAGCAGATAATTTAATCTTGGTAAATACAATACTGTATCCTGACACAGATATAAATATGTGGGCAAGCTGGGTTGGCAAATTTCTCAGCAGTTTTCATGTTGTTTCCATTTCTGGAAATAAAGTCTGATCTGCAGGAGGGAAAAAAAAAATAGTCTTATGAGAGCAGCAGTGAGAAAGTTCTGAAGAGTGCAGTCCAAGATAGACAATAAAATTACTGCTGGTAACATTAATTCCATTCCATGGTTTCAAGATTCAAAAAGTGAACAAAGAAATTTTTTTTAAAAAATTGTTTTTATTGGCTGTAAATATATTTCACAGATAAGAATAGACTCTTAAAGATGACCTTCCCATTTCGTGCTGTTTCTTTCAAGTCTGGCGTCCAGCTTGTAGGAAACTGCCATTTCTCATTCAGGATATGTCACTTACTCACAGTAGCTCATTGTCCTTCTTTCAGGAAACCTTATTCAGTCTTGGGAGATACTTTGAGAGGTAGTGGTAGTTTATTCATTTGTTTCTCTTCAAGATGAAGTCATGTGAAGAGAGGAATCCACCCATAGAAAAAGCAAAAGATGGCCGGGCGAGGTGGCTCACGCCTGTAATCCCAGCACTGTGGGAGGCCGAGGTAGGCGGATCACGAGGTCAGGAGATCGAGACCATCCTGGCCAACACGGTGAAACCCTGTCTCTACCAAAAAAAAGCAACAACAACAACAAAAAATACAAAAAATTAGCCGGGCATGGTGGCGGGCGCCTCTAGTCCCAGCTACTTGGGAGGCTGAGGAAGGAGAGTGGCGCGAACCCGGGAGGCGGAGCTTGCAGTGAGCGGAGATGCGCCAGCCATTGCACTCCAGCCTGGGCAACAGAGCAAGACTCCGTCTCAAAAAAAAAAAAAAAAAAAAAAAAAAAAAAATGGCTTAGATACCGGAAGCAAGGAGTAAGCAGGAGGTGTGGCAGTGTTTAATGTGAAAGTCAGAACCTAAGTGAAACATAAATATTGTCAGGGGAGTGAAAGAGCAGCTTGTTCAGTTGCTACTTCAATTAGCAGGAGTTTTGTGGCCAAGAGAGAAAAAAAGCAAAAGCTCTACCATCTGCTTTTATTTCTGAAGTTGTCTCAGTATCAGGCTACTGACCTCTGCAACCTATTTATCATTTGCATACAAAATATTCCTTTCTTTCCTTTCCCCTCTCCCTTTCTCCTCCCCTCCTTCCCTCCCTTCCACCTTCCCTCCCTCCCCAACTCCTTCCATCCTTCCCTTTCTCACTCCCTTCTTCTTTCCTTTCTCTCTTTTATGTTTCTCTTTCATTTTTGAATAATCTGAGTGATACATACTTCTACTACGTTTTCGCTGCCCATAACTCCCTGGGAAGAAATCAGAAAAAAAAAAAAAAATTATTACCTCCTGCTAGCTACCTATCAATGTTAGACAACTGTAATGTGTTTTATACTGAGAAAATATATAGAAGAAACGTTTCTTCCACTGAAGATCTTCCAAAAACAGTACCAAATAGTATTTTATGTAATAATGAAAAATAATAATAACACATGGCATAGCTGAGTACAGAACATACATGCAATATAAGTTTGTGTATTTTTAAACATGCACTCATATATTTAAATTTCAAGAAATGTTTATTGACATGTGAATCAGAAGACTCTGCAAATAATAATGGACACAATTAAATGTAGCTTCAACAGTAATGAATTTCTATTACTTCTTAATGAGAAGTCTAGAAATAAGACTGCAGTGGGATTGACTAACTCAGTGGCTAAAACAAGTCATCAAATACCAAGGAGCTTTACATCTTTCCATAGAATAGCTTGAGTGTGATAACTATGCTTTTCCTCACTGTTTTAAGATAGTTGAAGCTTGTTTCTGGCAATGAAGGGTGTTTCCTTCTATGTATCATTTTTTATTAAGGAGGAAATTCTTTCTCTGAGGGACTCATTTCCATGTCAATGAGCCATTTATTTGCCTTAACTGGTTTAGGTCCATTATGACCAAGCCACTGGAGATGGGGAATCGGAAATCGGGGATGGGAAGCCTTCACTGTATAAACAAAAATGGAGCCTCTGCTGGCAAAAAGGAAAATGAGAGTATAGCTGTTGGTTAACAACTAAAAAAATCTACCTTGAATTGTATTGGATGCTATCAGGAATTTTGTACAAAGAGAATAAGATGAGTACATGCCTTTGAGGAGATTACAGTAGAGTTATGGAGATTAGATATGCATACTGAAAATTCTCCTGCCAGGCAGTTAGAAAAAAATGACATGAAAGGAAAGTGGTTCAGGGAGAGAAGGATAAAAACTCTCCTGTCTCAAGTAATCAGATGTAAATGAAGGGACAGGAATTCCAAGTGGCAGAAAGAAGAGGAACAATGAGCAATCCAGACTGGCTTTATTTGTTGTAGGGTGTACCAGATTATAAATATACTTAAGTAACAGGAAAGAAGTATAGAAGTTATTCTTTAGGCAACTAGCATCTGTGGAGGGCTTTTAACTAGAGGAGTGGCAAGATCACAAATTGAGAAGCATTTTACAAGATCCTTGCAGAGATGTAAATACGTGCGTGAGATGGGTTAGACAGTATTTCTTTGGAGGGATTAGTTGATAAGAAAATGCAGGGTAAATGGAAGGCAGAAGAGAATAAAGGCATTAAAGAATAACAGGTCCTAATCCAGGTAAGAGGTAGTTATTTTCTGACCTAAACTAATGGCGAGGGAAATTCAAAGGAAAAGAAGCCCTTCTAGGGGAGGAAGTGACCGGGTTGGAATGCAGTGAATGATGTGGAGCTCCAGGGATTAGAAAATGAGCCTGGGTGTGGAGCATAGGTATTCACTCCCTGAAATGAACTAGGAAGTCTTCTCCGCAAATTGCTAGCTAACATCGAGCAATACTTTTGGCAAGTTATTTAAGTTATTTAACCTGATTTTATATCTGTACAGTAGCATTGCCTGCCTTATTTAGTGGTGAGGATTACATACAGTGATGCTTGTGAAGCACCTGGCATAGTGCCTGACTTCTTATAGGATTCAACAATTGTTAGTTCTTGCCTTACTATATGAAAGTGCTGGGAACAGCAATGATAAGTGAGGGAGAAGGTTTAAAAAGAAAAAAAAAAGTTGAGAACCATCTTGTGCAAAAGTCAACAAACTTTTTGTGTAAAGGACTGGATAATACATATTTTAAGCTTTGCAGATCATACAGCCTCTGTTGCAGCTATTCAACTCTGTGATTGTAGTGTGAAAGCAGCCGTGGACAATAGGTAAAAGAGTACTATGGCTGTGTTATAATAACACTTCCTGGACAATTATGTTTTCATTTTATAATACTTTTACATGATGTCAAATGTTAATATTCTTTTGGTTTTTTAATGTGAAATACTTTTAAATTTAAAAAAATAAAAATAAAAATAAACAAAAACAAATCTGTTCTTAGCCTTTGTGCCATACAAAAATTCAGCAGGCTTAACCTGTAGGCTGAAAATTGATTTTCTCTTATCTTGAAAAATGCCCAATCTCAGGCAATGGAATGATGGAGCATACCAAATAAGAATGAGCAATTAAAGAGCTACAGAAAGAACCAAGGGAGTTTTTAAAGTATCTTGGATTAGGTGATTGTCAGGTCACTGGTCAAAGAAGTCATTTAGGAAAAACCTAGGATGTCAAGGGAAACGAATAGGTAAGCCATGGTAATTATGATAGTGTTAAGTGTGATTAGTGGAGGGAACTGGGAAAAATTGCTGGCTTATGTTAAGTGGAGAAGCCAGTGGGTAGACAAAGATTGGACATACAAAAAGAAGACAGAGATAATGTTTGAAGAAGAGATCAGATCAGGTAGAAAGGGGTTAATAAGATGTCACGGGTATGAGGATGAGATTTTAAAAAGCATGGGCATCTTTGTTGACAAGAAGAGTATAATATGGAAGAGTAGAGAGAGGTTGAGGCATGGTGGCAGTGATGTATGCATTCACAGAACTAGTATCATATGAACTTGGGCTCCTTTGTGGATGAGGCATTAGTGTATTTTCTGAGCTTGAAGGTGAAGAGTAGGACAAAAATGTTGAATGTGGAGGCAATTTAGAACAGCAGCTGTGGCCAATGCAAGAGTTTCAAATGAGAAGAATCAAAAGGTGTCCAAATGGTAGTAAGGATTCCTATTAGGAATTAGATACCCTGACTTGTAGTCATTGGTGTAATTTAACAGATGTTGAAATGTTCTCAGCAGTATTCCTGAAACAAACCCAGAAACACATTAACTAAGACTGGTAATTCACACACAAGCCTATAGAGAAAGACAGTTACTATTCCAGCATTTTGTCTTTCACAGTCACCTAGAAATTTGGGGCCTGGTACAGGGCTGTGCTTGTTATTAAATAATGTAGCTGCAAGTACATAAACTATACCAAGACATCACTGTGGCTTCATGTGACTATTTAAATTTAAATTAATTAAAATTAAAAACCAGATAGTTGCACCTGCCACATTTTAAGTGCTCACTAGTCACATGTGGCGAATGACTATTGTGTGGGACTGGTCAGACAAGAAGCATTTCCATCATCACAGAAAGTTCTATTGGATAGTGTTGGTATACTGCACAAATTGGCTTGCTGTTTTTTTCTACCTGCCCAGGAGTCATTGAGATTAAAGTGAAATTACAGACTGATATAAAAAATTTGCACATAGGTCCCTACCCCAGGAACATAAGACCATTTTAAAAAATGGTTTGGAGACAAACTGATGGCTCACCCTAGGTTAAACTCCCCGTCATGACTGATAGGCAAAATGACAAAAATAGAGTTCAATTGAGTGACAGTTAAGGATTTAAAATCCAAGGCATTGAATAGAACAATGGGAGTACTGTATTCATTCTGTTTCTTTTTTCTCCCACTCTCAAATTTTAGTTTAATGGCTGAGTCAGGTAGGTTAAATGTGTGTGACAGAGTGTATTCTGTTTTATGTGAATATAAAGGGCACATGCTGAAATGTAGAATATTAATATGTAAATCAATGCAATTTTTCATAATAGATATATAATTAAAGTGCTTAAGTGATAGCAAATGCAGCAGGTATTTTGATCACTTTTTAGTTCTATAGCCCTTCATCTGATCACCGTGCTTCTCTCGTCTTATTCCATTATGCCCACAATAGAAGTTCTATTGATGGGGCACAACTCATGATCTCAGAAACTGGGGTGGTTCCTTTTTGAAGGCTGATGCTCAATTGCCTCAAATATTAGGTAATACATACAAAATTATGGATAATTTGTTCTTCAGTAGGATTTTTTTGTAAAAAAAGATATTATTTTTCCTAGAAAGATTTTGTGTGAGTTACTCTTGATCTATTTCTCTTGGATCTATTTTTATTTTCTTCAAAATTAAAATTTTGAGAATATTATTGGCTGGCGCACTGGCTTATGCCTGTAATCCCACCACTTTGGGAGGCAAAGGTGGGTGGATCACTTGAGGTCAGGAGTGCAAGACCAGCCTGGCCAACATAATGAAACCCCCTCCCTACTAAAAATACCAAAATTAGCCAGGCGTGATGGCATGTGCCTGTAATTTCAGCTACTCGGGAGGCTGAGGCACAAGAATTGCTTGAACCTGGGAGGTGGAGGTTGTAGTGAGCCAAGATCGCACCACTGCACTCCAGCCTTGGTGACAGAGTAGGACTCCGTCTCAAAAGAAAAGAAAAAAAAGTATTTTTTTTTCCTAAAAAAAGAGATGATTTCCATATTTTAGAGACACTCTATATACTTTTAACAACCTCTCAGGTTAGGAGTCGATGAGAGCTGTGAAATGCTCTCATTATTATTCCCATTATTATGACTACTTTTAATTCTAAATGTAATATAAAATAAGGAATTTTAAAATTATTTCCAAAAAATGTGTATGGCAAAAATGTTGTTCTTTCATGGGAAAATACATGAGTAAAAACAATGGTCAAAGAATGTAGACCTAGGTTTTATTTAATACCCGCATGCTTTTTTTACTTATACATAGTTTCATATTGTTCAGACAAGCAATATACTGTGTTCACAGACCTAAATATATAAATATGGTACTTAGAAGCTGTGTGACATTGGCAAAGTTATTTTTCCTCTTCTATTCAAATGGATTTAATCATGAGAGTACCTTTCTCATTGGATTTTTGTGCACATTAAATGAGAAAATTAATGTAAACCTCTTAGCATAGGGATATATGTGCTAAAGCAAGGTCTATCGTTATCTGTTGTTTTTCTAAAGGCCCAGAGCTAATAAATGTTATTCAGAGACACAAATCCAGATTAGACAGTTAGCAAAGCTAATCTCTTTCCTTGCTCTCCCACTTCCCCGTCCCGCCTCTAATCATAAGGTATGTCTTCTTGGAAAGATACAATGAAACGAATATCTAACTACCTTATGACTGAAGACAGTTTACAGAATAGAACAATTTAAATGTATTTACAAAAGTTCTTAAATTAAAAACCAAGTTCTAAATGTGTCTCTCAATGAAAATGTGTACCATATTTTGTTCTTACAATTTACCTTTTTTGTGTGTGAGACAGGGTTTCGCTCTGTCGCCCAGGCTGGAGTGCAGTGGTACAATCATGGCTCACAGCTGTTTCGACCTTCTGGGCTTAGGTGATCTTCCCACCTCAGCCTCCAGAGTAGCTGAGACCACAGGTGTGTGCCACTATGCCCAGCTAAATGTTTTATTTTTTCGTAGAGACGGGGGTCTTGCTGTGTTGCCCAGGTGGTCTTGAACTCCTGGACTCAAGTGATTCTCTCTCCTCAGCCTCCCAAAGTGCTGGGATTACAGATGTGAGCCACAGAGCCTCGCCTTGCCTTTATTTTTCATCTTATCCTCGCTTCTCTTGATTGACAATCCCCCTAAAGAATTTGGGCCTGAGTTCTTTCAGGAAAAGCAAGCATCAGAAGATTGCCTATAAAGAAGAGGAAAATGAAAGTGAGTCTGACCTTAGACTACCTATTTCTAATTCTTCTGTTCGCCAACAAAAAGGCTACTTGTCTTTGTATCCATTTTTCAGACTTGATCTTTTAAGTTTCAAGTGGTAAATCTAAGGATTCTCTCTAAAGTCAGGCATTTTTCTCAGGACATGGCAGAAGACAAAATATAAAGAAAATGGGAATGGATAAGACATGAAATTTTTAAAAATGTATTCGAAGAAGTTACTTTTAGGTCTTGTTATTGTGTCAACAGAACCAAAGGAAAGTTCAATTACTGACTGAAGCAAGGGCAGGTAGCACCTCAACTTTGCCAAATTGATTTAGGTTAGATATTTTTATCATTCTAAATTTTCTGGACAAGAGTATGCCCTTCCAGTTGATTTTTGCTGCATTAATACAACTTGTTAGAGAAAGAGGAAGATAGCAGTCACATCACCAATACCACACACTTTGTGGATGTCTCCTTACATGACACTTCCAGTTAGGGAAATCTGCTAGAGAAACCAACCTAATGGGTCACACATACTCTGATATATGAGCAGAACCAAAAATGTAAGCATTTCTGCCATTTCCAGATATGGCAGCAAAGGCGAGAGATATGGATGAGTTGTCAGAATGTTATGGGCTTTTTTTTTTTTTTTGGCAGAATATATGTTGCATACCTTCCCCTCACCAGTTAAACTACTGTATAATTATACATGTTGACAATTTGTCCTAAAGAGATAGCCAGTAATTTAACTTATTCTTGCACAACTTTATGTATTTACAAGCTGATGGCTTCTCATTTGGATATCGTCCTATAACTTTCTGAGAGCAATGGATTATAATTAAAGTATTTTTATCGTCACAAAAATAGATTTAGATGATGTCAGTGATTTAGTATCTTAAACAAGATAGCTTGTAATTTGGAATCCACCCTTTTAGTTTGTGAGACATCACTGGAATGTCAATATTCCTCTGACAGTAAAGAGTGGCAGCACTAAGACATAGCAAATTTGGCAGTAAATATATTGTCTTCAAATTTTGAAAATACATCCAAATATCTCTTTCATTCCCCTTACAGGTACATTAAGTGCTGTCAGTGTACAACACAATTCTAAATGTTCAAATATTGAAAGAAAGGCTGTGAATTTAAAGAAATACTGTGTGGAGCAGAGAGAATGTATATTTTGTCAATTATGATGGTGGCATGACAAAGGGACCTCATTTGAAATGTATTATACCATAGAAACATCTTAAGGTTTGGGTAGCTATATTCTGTTCTTTGGCATGGGTCAGGGACTGAATTTGCAGTGAAATTTTTCCGGGCCGAATGCAACAAAAATAACTGCATCCCTCAGGGAAAATGAAATAGATGATTTTACAAGACTGACCTCTAAAGAATTGGTACATTAGATGTGGAAATTGTCCTGGAAGAACTCAGATATGCTTCTGAAGTTTCTCTCCACTCTCAAATACATGTCACCATGTACTGGGAGGTGTGAATGTAGAAAACAAAATACAATACACTGTGTTGCTGTAGAATTTGTGCAGTACGCATGCTATTAAAAAATTCATTTATAAAATACATCAAATTTAGGAGAATGTTTCTCAACTAAATGAAGCTTAAAAAGATTGTCCTCCTCTGAGGAGGTATACTAGGATAAGAATTGTTTTAATTAATAAAAGTCATCTAGACTGATTTTGTTGGGAGAATTAGATCATTCACCTATACAATCTCTTACAGTTACAGCAACTAAGAAACACAATTGGTGGCATTCACGGTTCTTTAAGCTTTAACGCTTGCAGCTTTATCCTAGAGTTGGTCTTTTAAGCTTCTCTACTAAGAAAAGTGAAATTTCAAGTTTCCACATGATAGTTTAGAAGATCAAAAAGGCAAGGTCAGTTTACCTTGAAGCACATGACTCATATCTTTCAAATAATATCATTTGATTTCAGGTATCACAAAAGCTGTAGGTACAAGTAGTTACCTTTTGAAAGGATGTTAAAATGTCTCTGTAACAAGTATCACTGATAGATGCACACAGAGGTTGGGATATGATAAGGATGTCCACAATTTGGCATGCCCAGTGTGCCTCCTCTTTAGTAGCCTGTATTTTCTGTTTTTGAAGAATACCGGTGAAGTGACGTTCAAGGTCCCGTAGGAAAGAATGAAGCTTCTTGAAAAGGTGAGAAGGTGTGGCAGGCAGCAACAGGGGCCCTGTCGGGGGTAACCTATGACGACATGCCTCTTCATCTCAAAGGCATCATGCTTCTTTGGAAACCCTTAGATCAAACTCACAAGAAGAAAGAGGTGTTAAATATATAACATGGAGCCAACCAGAGCATTTAACAAAGGAAAATGAACCTGAACAAATCCTAGAATAGAAAGCATTTAGGGTTCAACATTATATACTTGATCTTAATTTACAAAGATCAAGATGTACATAATTATGGGCTCATGTTGGCCTTTAATACCAAATGCTGTTCCACCTCTTCCATCTCTGCCTCTACCTGCCTCCATAGCTTTTCAGAAATAAAAATAAAAACTAGGATGCCATTAACACAAACAATAACTTGCAGGTTACAAATCTAGCAGCTGGAGAGTAGTTGTAAGACAGGAAGCTTGCTGGTTGTAATGGATGTTTATAATTGAAACAAGTCATAAGGTGAAACTTCTCAGATATCCAGACGTGTAGGTTAAATAAAGGCTTGTACTTCCAGGGAAGACATTGATTGAAAGGCAACAAAACAGAGCTTGTTCCAGTATAAAGTCTTAGTTTCCTAGTTGTTATGAGCTACTATTGACAATTAATACAAGCAATTATGTTTTAGTGTTGCATCTTAGGATCTTGAAAGAATACTTTATCACAAAAGAGTTCAGGAGTCAGTTGCATGCTCACCATCAAGTTTGGTATTTTTTATTTTTCTGGCAAAATGCACAATATGGCCTGAAGTGGTGGTATAAATTACAACCTGTTTCACTGCACACAATTTTTCTTATTCTGAGGTCCAGTCTCTTGTTTTTAAATAGTTGAGAAGCTTTACTTCAATGAGCAGTTTCTCATTGTTACTAAATGTAGAATGAAGAACTACAGTGAATTGGTAGAAAGGGATGCTTCTTATTTTTTAACAGAAAAATATTATGCAATACGAAATAACTGATATTACTGGTATTAATCTGTAAGTAACCAGTGTATACAAGGTCAGAAAATTAGAATCAGAGCAAAGAAGGAGAAGCCTTTGGTTTTTAGTACAAATAGGTATCCAGGACTGATACTCATTAGATATGGGTGCTGAATTCCTGAATTCTTTACAAAGCTTAGCCTAGAACAGGGTATTTATAAAGTGCTAATAGAAGTCATATAATTAATTAAATTAAGTTGTGCTTGATACTGTTACATATGAAGAAAACATTTTTAGTATCACAGATTTTCAGAGCTGGCTTACCTAGGTCTTTGTCATTTATTGTTAGAGAGCCAGTGTTAGGTAGACCCATATTCTCCCTGTCATTTACACTCTCTCTAAGCCGGTGCACTCAACCAGCCTACCAAGAGACAAGCAGAGTGTCTCCCAGTCCTCATAAATGTCAGAGGTTCTAGGTCCAGGTACCGTCTCTCTGATTTGCAAACATTTCTCCTCTTAAATCCCTATCTTGTTTCTCTCCCAAAATTTATTTCCTCCTCCTCCTCCCCCTCCTCCTCCTCCTCCTCCCCCTCCTCCTCCTCCTTCTTCTTCCTCCCCCTCCCCTTCCCCTGTCCTCCTCTTCCTCACTTTCTTCCTCCTCCTCTTCTTCTTCTTCTTCTCCTTCTCCTCCTCTTCCCTCCTCCTCCTCCCCCTCTTCCTCCTCCCCCTCCTCCTCCTCCCCTTCCTCCTCCCCCCCTCCTCCTCCTCCTCCGCCTCCTTCTTCTTCTTTCTCATGTAAGGTAAAGAATCATGGTGCTCTCTTGCTCAGAACCTCCCACTGTGGCCCATTTCAATGAACTTCTTATTGTGGCCCACAGCCTCACAGGATCTGGCTCCAGCCTATCTGTATGCTGTTCTTTCTCCACTGTAAATTTTCAGTTCTGGAAGTGGGCAAAGGAGATCTCACCTCATGGCTGTTGGACCTGCTGTTGCCTATGGCAGATACCAGCGATTACCCAGCTGCTGGTCTGGCTGGCTCCCTCTCATATTTAGATCTTTGCTTAAACATCATCTCTATAGTAAGCACTTTCCTGACATCTGGCAATCCTTTCAAATTTCTTTCTTTCTTTTCCTGAATAACAGTGAATAATGATACTATCTGATGCTTTATCATGTGTCTCTCCATCACCATTATAACCTCCAACACAGGAATGGAAGCTCTTGGTGGGTGGGTTATCTGCCTTATTCACTGCTGTATCTTCAGCTCCTAGTAGATATGTAGGGGATCAATAAAGATTTTTATTAATTAATTATGAAAAAAATTAATATCTCGCTTCCTTATCTCTTTTCTAGGGCAATGGAACTGGTATGATGCTCTCTCGTTTTTCTTTTCTAGTCGTTTTTCTTCTTAAGGTGACTTCTTTGTGTTTGCTAAAGATAGAATAAGATGGCCCATTGAGGACACAAAGCCAAACAGCATTGAAGGGTAACCTGGCAGATCAAACCAGCACTTATTGCTGGGAAAAGTCAGGCAAGGTAGGGTGTGTACAATAAAACCTAAAAATGAGTTTGGATAGGAGGGGATCCAATCAATCAATCACAAATAGGTTTTTCATGCTGGGGCATACAGATATATCCCTGTTTTTAAGGGCTTACTTCTAGCTATGAGAGTTAGATAAATCAGATGAAAGAACCACAGGTTTGATGATAGAAGGGAAGACAAAATTCCAGGTGAGAGAAGGCTTAAGTAAAGATAGACAGGAAAGGAATATGTTTCACCAGGGAATGAGGAAATAATTCTCACTTGTCAAGGATTCAATGTGGAAAATTGTGAGCTAGTAGACTGAAAATGTTAGTTTATGCCAGACTGTGATGAGATTTGAATTCAAGGCTTTGGGTTTTATTTGGCCAGCAAAACGTTTTCCATGGAATGTGGTGGGTTAAAAGTGATATTTGAGGAAAATCAGTATGACATCAGTCAACAAGTTAAAGTGCACTTTCATATAAAACTGAGAGTGGTCAGGAAGCCTGGGAAAATTTTGCATGTGTTTGATGTCTAAAGATTTATCCACGTAACTGCCTTGTATATTTCTTCTATGAGCTGACCTAACTCTCAATTTTTGTTGTGTTACCAGTTATATTTGTGGTTCTGGTTGCTACGGTTAAGCAGACAATTCTCTGAGAAATAGCACATCACGAATCAAATCTTCATCTGCACTTAGATAAGTAATTGATCTAGATTGATGAGGAGTTGTGAAATATTCTGCTATGTCTGTGTGTATTCAATACAAAATCTAGATTAGACCAACATAAAGCCAACCCTAGAAATAAAATACTGTCAGTCAGACTAAATGGCAACTTCAGTTGAGAAGCAGTTCATTATGAGGTTTGTGGTTTGAGTTTTCCTCTTCGATGTCCAGATATTTCTTTCCATAATGAGTAAAATATATCTAATAATGCCAGTTCTAATGCAAACAATTTTATTTTTATTTATTTTCATGGTTGTCTTTCTCTGGGAAAATAATCAGCCCAGTGGTAATACATTGTCCTTATTAAAATGTTTTTCTTTGTTTTTACTCTAGGCTATAGTTAGAATTCATGGGGACACAAACTGGTGTTTTAGAGGAAATTATGTTGATTATCATGTTACATTGTGTGCAATTAGAGCCTCTAACATCCCAGAACCACAGATTTGAATTTGTACAATTTTTTAAAAAGTTGGATATGACTAAATAATGCATTGTATTAGAAATTATACTTTTTATTTTATAGCTGACAAGTTTAACATGATATTTCTTGTTATCGTTCCTTTAAAGTCAAACATCCTAGCACAAATAAGCTCCTTTGAGAATGTTAGGTCAGAGATAATTCATTATGTGAAAAATTCTTAACCTGAAAGCGTATATGAAGGAAAGGTGGATGAAGGGCTCAGATGGGAGAAGTACAGAGAATATATCCATGCAGTTCCACTGAAGGGTTTATTTAATATTTTTTTAATCAATGGTCACAGACTTGTAAATTGACTATCCCAAATCATTTGTGGTTTCTTTAGGAGAAAAAAATAGGAAAACAGGATAAAACAACAGTTCTGATCTCTTCATGATGAATTATGCATCTTGCATGGATGACTAGTTTATCACTTTTTAACTTGCAGTATGCACTTTGTTTAGCTACAAAATACATTGAATTGCTCTGTTTAGGAGTCCAAATCTACTAGTGCATATGGGTGATGTCATCCTGCAGGTAATCAACATAGTTCAGTGGTTTTAAAGATAAATTAAATCTTGCTAATTATATTCATCTTGTGAAAACACAGATTAAAAAGATACAGCCATATGCAAATCAGATACATGCAGCCCAGCTGAATTATATTGTTTCATGTCTGTGCTTTCTAAATAATAGAATGGTAACTATACAGAATGATTCTTTTGAATATCCTGACAAGCATGATTTATGGTGTTCCTAAGATGTATTCTTTGCTTAATAGTCAAAAGAAAGGCCTTACTTTCCCACTTACCTAATATTGCATGAATTTATATTTTAATGTCGCTCCATTTAGAAAGTGAAGGGGGAAGGGAGAATAGATGTAAATTATATCCTTACCGATGCATACAACAGTTTTGAAATTGAAAATCGCTGTTTTGGCATGCAAAGTGGAAAACCACAAATAATTCCTTTTCTTAAAACAAGCACAATATTGAACTTTGTAGAAATGCAGCATATCATAACGTTAGTGTAAAAGTCCTTTGACATGAAAAATACCCGGAAAAAAAAATTTCTGCATTATTAATGTCTCCTCTCCCACCTAGCAAATAACAGGGGTCCATTGCAAGATATATGAATAAGAATATGGTAGGCCAGAGGGATAGAACAATGTGAAACACACACACACACACACACACACACACACACACACACACACACACACACACACACAGGTCTATTTTGACTAGGGTGACCAGGACCAGATGCATCTGTTTACTTAGAGGAATCCAAATGTATTCTTGTTGTACTGGTATTAATTATTAATATTAACACCTTCCACTATCATGTGTCCTTTCCTGGGTGGTAAATTATGATTACCCTAATAGGATTACCACAGCAAAACACAGACCAAGGTTATATGGTTGAGAATTCTTACCAGTCCTTTTCTTTGATTCATCAGTCTATGAACAAGGAAATTACGAACAACCAGAAAATTATGTGGATTTCATGAGCTGTACTTTATCACACAATGCTAGAACCTCATCCTTAAGGTACTTTTAAGTGAAATACCTCATATGGTCAAATGTTAAACACAAAATTGATGATGTTAAGTATCATAGGGACAGCTGGCTCATCCACATTTGTTTCTCCATTGGCCAGTGTTAGGGCAATGCAAACACTCCACTAATAGCAGCAAAAATCAATGATAACTTTAGTTGCCAATAAATGTCACTCATGATTTTTGTTTGCTTGGTTTTTGCCGTGTGTGTGTGTGTGTATGTGTGTGTGTGTGTGTACATGTATGTATGTGTGTATTACAATAGAACTTTATTTGCAAAACCAGGGGTAGTCTGTGGGCCTATTTAATGACTGCTGGTGTAGATATCAAAATGATTTCACTTTCTATTAATAATGAGTACTTTCTGCCAAGTATGGTTTCATAGAGGACTCGCTTTCTGTCTGTATATAGGCAGTGCTCACTTTGATTTGAATTGCCTTTGTATGTTTTACTTTTCTTGGATACCTTTTATACCTCTGCTCTCCTCTCCATGTTAATTCTCTTAATCTGTTCCATGCCCTCTCTTAAGTCTGTCATTTTTGTAAAAAGAGGAGAATTCTCAGTGCTATGTTTAGTCTCTTTTATTCCTTCCCCAAATCCTCTTTATCTCTGCTGTCTCATTCTCTTTAATTTAGATTTTCATTACACGTGTAAGGCTGGCCAGATCACGTGTTCTGTTTTAGCCATGCATTCAGATGTATTTGGTGGGATGCAGAAGCATTAGCTGGGATACAGTGGAGGATTATTTCAGTGTTATTGGTACCAAGTAAAACTGAGGTTTCAAAAAGAAGTGTGTCTATTTAAGTGTAAAATTCACTAACCATCTCTCATAAAAGCATATAATGGGAGGAGATACAAATATATATTTTCTGTTTTCATGGTGGAGAATTTTTGTTTTAATGTTTTTACATTACAAAGGATAAAGTTTAAGTATTTCCAATTTACTCAAACTATTGTATGTATGCAAATTTGTAAGATACACCCACCTGCCTACTTTCTTTATCTCCGTTTCTTTTTTCCTTCCTTCTCATTTTCTTCCTTATTGCCTCCCTTCCTTTCTTTTTTCTTTCCCACTGAGAAATAATGAAAATTGGACAAAAATGCAAAAGAATACCCAAAATTTCATCAGTATACTACCAGACACTAGTTATTACTTGGATGATAATGGCATTTGCATTATTAGCAAGAAATACTTTTAATATTGGGCTAGAATGAATCTAATGAGATTGCAGGTCAGGGTCCAGCTGATGCAGAGATGAATTATTCGCTGTGAAACTTTAGCCAAGCAACCAAACTGTCACATGCTGTGTCTAAGAACTGATACTTGCAGTCCAAAACTCATTACCAAGTATGTCTTCTGAAAGATATGATTCTTCTGAAAGATACGATTGCCTTAATCTCTTTCAGATATACTATTTATTTAAGCCTGCAGTTCATTGCCTTAAGAGTGTGATGATTTTACACCTATGTATCAAACCTGGAGAAATTGACAGATCAAATGGGAACATCTGATTTAAAAGTGTGATTCAGAAGTCATTGAGTTCATTCATTTGATGACAATTTTGGGGCAAATCATGGCCCCTTCCTCAATTGTGTATTTTGTCTTCACTTATGGAATTGATTTGAAAATATTCAAAGGAGAGTCAAAGATTTTTGTAACTTAACTACAATAAAAATATGATTTAAATGATAAAAAGCTTAAAATAAAAAAGATTTTTGTAACTTAAATATGATAAAAATATGATAAACCACTTATGCCTTTAAACATGTTAATAGACATACTCAGAGTAGATTAATGGATTTGCCATATATATTTTAATATTTTTATTACTATAGCATCTAAGGTATTTAAAAATATATGCATATTTTGCCTGTGTTTGAGACTGATTCCTCTGCTACAGCATAAACATTGATAATGGTGTGAAAATATTTTGTATTTCCCTTGATCCCTGGATGAATTTGCTCAATACCAAGGGAGTTCTCCTGTACAAGGGTATGCCTTTTTAAAAATTTGCTTTTAATGAAAATTTTAAAATCAGAGAGAGAATAATTGTTGAATGATGATTGAGCTAATCAAAATGTACTGGGCTTTCTGAAAAGACACTAATCTAAGTTCCTGCCAAATACAAAGCACCGCTCCCTTTCTCCGTTCCAGTCACTCAAAGAAATAACTTTATTTGGAGATTTTACAATTGTTAGATCTGTAATACACATTTATGATTTGCAGCATCTAAAATAAAACAGCTGTGTGTGTTGGGGGAGGCTGCAAGGAGGGTACACCATGTGTTGAGGAATGAGTCTGAACCACATTTATACTTGGTGAAACTTGTTGGGATAGTTGCACATTCATTCTTGGTGAAACTTTTTGAGCCTGTTCAGGACTCAGTGGAGATTCCTGCTTGCTTTAGAGATATAAGAAGAGGCACGTGCTCAGTGAACCAAGAAGGAAACCCCTCCCTACATTCCATCGGTCACTTGTTTCATCTCCTAAATAACTCTCAAGTACAAAGGAAATAAAATCCTTTTGATTTTATTTTTCCTCCAGCTTCTACCCTGGTTCAGGTCATCATCATGGTGACCTCTCGGTTAGACCTCTGGAAGAACTAGTAATCTTTCTAAAATGCACATTTGGTCATTTTATTTTTCTGCTTAAAACTTCTCAGTACTCCGTTCCTCCACCTTGCCTTCAGGATGGTCCTTCTTAATCCACATGTGATATTTTAGCCTTCTTATCTGTGCAGCCCCATCTATCCCTTATTCCTTCTTTACATTTTATACTTCTCTTTGTGATCCTGCACTTTTCGGTTTCTTGGATGTGCGTTCTTTTGGACTTTGTTGCTTTTTCAGTACATTTCTTCTTTGTTTCTTTAATTTTTACTCTTTTTCCAGGCCTCAATTCAAATGTTACTGCCTCAAGAAAGCCTTGCCTTCTCCCTCCCCACCAAACAAGTTATGTCCCCTTCCTATGTGCTTTAACAGGGTTTTCACACTTATTTAGAATTGTGATAGCTAGGTTATTTGTAAAGCCATCAGACTCTGTAGGAGCTTGGAATTTGTCTTCTGGACCAAGCACAGTGCAAATCCCTACTACCAAGCAGAATGTCAGGGATACAGCAGAATACCTAGGACCAAGCAGAATATCAGGGTTTTAACATTGTCAAAAATCATGGATGGCTTCCTTCTCTTCAGAGAAATTTTAGTCTTCTTCATTCGTAGTGAAGCAGAAGCTTTAGGAAAACAAAAGATGCAGTGAGAAGTCAAAAAGTTACTCTGCTGCCCCTTTTATTCTGTACCCAATAAAATAGTACACAGCATTCAGATATTTCTACATTGAATTGAACTTCCTCTTTATAAAACTTTGGCTTGAAATGTGTATCCAGATCAAGAGCACACTGTCTTCCTTTTCTCAATCTTGTGGAGGATGGGTTGAGGAGGCAGGCAGATACAGATACAACTGGACATCTGCTTGTAAGGAAAACTGGTTTGACCGCTTTTATAAAACATGACTGGAGGCAGAAATGAAATTCAGTCTCAATCTCTTTCCTCATTCAAGGTAGGTTTAATGGGTGGGTCCCTTCTTCATTTTTTATGTAACTGTAAAAAGGAAACCGTTACTGTTTTTTGATTAAGATTTCAAAATGAATCTGTGTAAATATTGCAGTTTCATTTACTGCACTAATGCAAAATATAACTTTCTGAAAAAGGTATACACATATCCTAAACAATAGTTTACATGGTTTGGCTGTGTCCCCACCGAAATCTCATCTTTAATTGTAGTTCTTGTAATCCTCAAGGGTCGTGGAAGGGACCTGGTGGGAGGTAATTGAATAATGGGGGTGGTAACCCCCATGCCACTGATAGTGAGTGAGTTCTCACACGATCTGATGGTTTTATAAGGGGCTTTTCCCTCTTTGCTTGGGACTTCTCCTTCCTGCCATCATGTGAAGAAGGACATGTTTGCTTCCCCTTCTGCCTGATTATAAATTTCCTGAGGCCTTCCCAGCCATGCAGATCTGTGAGTCAATTAAACCTCTTCCTTTATAAATTACCCAGTCTTGGGCATTTCTTTATAGGAGTGTGAGAACAGACTAATACAATAGTGAAAATGTATAATATATTATTTTCATATGTCTCCTAAAATAGAAGGAAATAGAAATTATTAATTTTATGGTGAGTGAAATAGAGCATAAGACCAAAGGGATATTTGGGGAGGTCACCTGGGACTGGTAGAGGGAACACAAAGCTTAAGGTAGGTACAGAGGCCAGCAGTCACATTAGTGTTTCTCAGCTTTCTTTGCGCATTTTGTTCTCCCAACCTTTTACTTTCCTGCCTTCCTCCTGTCTCCTTTCTTGGTATATTTTATTTGCTCAGTGAGGCCTTTCTTACCCTATTAACATTTACAATCACTTCCACCACTTCCAATTCTCTCTCTTTATTGCTCTGTTTTCCCCCATAGTACAGAATACAATTGATCTTATTATATAGCTTAGTTATTCTGTTTATTGCCCATCTGTCTCCACTGAAGTATAAGCTCTTTGAGGGAAGGAACTGTTGACTGTATTGCTCACCATGGTATTCCCAGTGGCTAGGATAGGGCTACCATATAGGAGGTACTAAACAAATTCTTTTTGAATGAACAAATCAATGGTACTAGTCCAAGCTTTTTTTTTTTTTTTTTTGTATGTTGTTGAATAACTACTAACAGTTGGCCATAAAAATAGGAATATAGAATTTGAAAGTGATTCACAGTGATGAAACTACAAGCCTCTACAGAGTTTGTCTATTTTTTTCTGTTTTTTTTTAATGTAATTTAGCATATCACATTGTGAGAGACTATGTCACAAGATCTTCTTGAATTAATGCAAAAAGATGTAACTACGAGTGATAAGGTATTGGTCCTGGACTCAATATTTATGATGATGTGTGGTTATTTACAGTTAGAGAGACTTGTGCATTTTTATACCCTAGCTGATTTTATGTTAAAACAAATGTAAATGGTGGTTAAGACATCTCTATGGCTAATATTTCACATGCCTCCAGTGAGACCATAGCCTAATATGCTGTGGATCTGAAGTGTAAATTCAAATCATTATCCATGCTTCATCAGAACATTTGCAGACTCTATGCAGCGTGTGCTAGAAATGTTGGAGCAAATGATATCTTTATCACAGCTTCTGATCATCACATGATGAGACAGCGCATTTCCACCAATTCATAGTGCACTTTGTCAATCTAGTGAAGAGAAAATACAATGATTAAATTATATTTGAGCCATAAAAAAATACACCTTACACTGCAACCTCTGGTGTCTGGTTGCTAAAGTTAATAGAAAATGAGTTCTGTGAAAGGGAAAGTGCATTAATCTGTGGAGTTAAAAATAACTTTAACTGTAATTTAATGTATTTAATGTGAACTACCTTGTTATTTTTATTTTATAGAAAGACCTTCAGTTAGTAATGATTATCTTCTTTTTTCAATTTTAAAAGCACTAAAACTCATTGCCTACTCCCTGCTTCTATGAAGTCCTTCCTATGTACCATTCCACAGTTTTTGTCATTGTCTTTACTCCTTCATGTAGAACTATGTTTAATGTGCCTGATCCATGTCATAGTTATGAAGTGACAAGAGAGTAATGGGAAAGATGAAGGGTGTCCATTGAAAGAGCTTCAGTAAAAATTTTAATTGTAAATTATTTCTGTTATATATGTATGGTTTGTTTCTGAAATTAATAGGTTTCAAATGAAATTTTCTTAAGTTCAACATAGTCTCCCTTCTCAATTTTTACAGTTTATTGATATATTTGGTATTACGAACGTTCATATGACAAAATTGATGCACTTTAAAATTAATATAGAAATTCAAAATGTACTTTTAAAGGTTATACAACCTCAAAACACTCTCCTTTTTAAATGGTTATAGTATATACATTAAATTTTTCTTTTAAGCTTATCATTTAATAATTTTCCGAGGGACTTACTACACTTTAGGAGTGATTATGATTTTTAGTATGAATTAAGAAGGATAGTAGTGTCCAAAACCTTAAGACTTTTACCCAAAGAAAGATAGACAATACTCAAAGATTTTCATGTATTTTATATCTTGTTTGTTTTTTATTAAAAAAACATCTTTCAAAAAATATTCCCAAAAGAAAAAAAGGTATGTTTATACAAATTTTTGTGTGTATATAGTAGGTATATATATTTATGGAGTATATTTATGGGGTATATTTCGAAAAATATTCCCCCAAAAAAGGTATGTTTTTATAATTTTTTTGTCAGTATATAGTAGGTATATATTTATGGGGTATTTATGGACTACATAGCAGGTGTATATATTTATGGCGTAAAGATATGCAATGTGAAATACACACATCACAAAGAATGGGGTATCCATCCCCCCTAGCATTTATCCTTTGAGCTACAAACAATCCAGTTACACTCTTTTAAGTTATTTTAAAATGTACAATGCAGCTATTATTGAATATAGTAACCCTGTTGTGATATCAAACAGTAGTTCTTATTCATTCTTTCTATTTTTAGTACCCATTAATCATCCTTACCTCCCCTGCACACGGTCTTCCCACCCCCCACCCCACTACCCTTCCCAGCCTCTGGTAACCATTCTTCTACTCTCTATGTCCATGAGTTCAATTGTTTTGATTTTCAGATCCCACAAATAAGTGAGAACATGTGATATTTGTCTTTCTGTGCATGGCTATTTCACTTAACATAATAATGCCCAGTTCCATCTGTGTTGTTGCAAATGACTGAATCTCATTTTTTTATGTCTGAACAGTAGTCCATTATGTATATGTAACACATTTCCTTTATGCATTAATCTGTTAATGAAAACTTAGGTGGCTCCCAAATCTTAGTTATTGTAAAGAGTGCTGCAACAAACATAGGAGTGCAGATGTCTCTTTGATATACTGATTTCCTTTCTTTGGGGTATATACTCAGTATTGGGATTGCTAGATCTTATGGTAGCTCAATCTTTAGTTTTTGAGGAACCTCCAAACTGTTCTCTATAGTGGTTGTACTAATTTACATTCCCACCAACTGTGTACAAGGGTTCCCTTTTCTCCACATCCTCACAGGCATTTGTTATTGCCTGTCTTTTGGTTATAAGCCATTTTAAATGGAGTGAGATGATATCTCATTGTAGTTTTGATTGGCATTTCTCCCATTTCTCCGATGATCTGTGATATTGAGCACTTTTTCATATACCTGTTTGCCATTTGTATGTCTTCTTTTGAGAAATGTCTATTCAGGCATTTCTCCGATGATCTGTGATATTGAACACTTTTTCATATGCCTGTTTGCCATTTGTATGTCTTCTTTTGAGAAATGTCTATTCAAGTCTTTTGCCCATTTTTTGATTGGATCATTAGATTATTTTCTGTAAAGTTGTTATATCTCCTTATGTATTCTTGTTATGAATTCCTTGTTAGATAGAGGGTTTGCAAATAGTTTCTCCCATTCTGTGGGTGGTCTCTTCACTTTGTTGATTGTTTCCTTTTCTGTGCAGAAGCTTTTTAACGTGATGTGATTCCATTTGCCCATTTTTGCTTTGGTTGTCTGTGCTTGTAGTGTATTCCTCATGAAAGTTTTGCCCAAAAAAATGTCCTGGAGATTTTCCCCAGTGTTTTCTTGTAGTAATTTCATAGTTTGAGGTCTTAGATTTAAGACTTTAATCCATTTTGGTTTGATTTTCACATATGGAGAAAGATTGGGGTCTAGCTTCGTTCTTCTGCATATGGATCCTGTATTCCCAGCACCATTTCTTGAAGAGATTGTCTTTTCCCCAGGATATGTTTTTGGTGCCTTTGTTGAAAATAAGATCATTGTATCATTGTAGATGTGTGGAAAAAAGGTATGTCTGTCATATATCTGCATACCCTGAGTGTTATTTTACAAAAATCAGACTATGTTCTTTTATTATATTGTATGATTGCTTTAATTTTTTATAATTATTTCAGTAAGATTAAATTCTTAGCTTACCACAAAAATAAGCAAATGCAAGTGAGGATTTTATGACATGTATCTAAAATAAGTAAAATGAATTTTATAAAGAGTGAAAAAAAAGCAAAACATTATTGTATTAGCCAACCTAAGAACTAGATTATTTCATTTATAAATTAAAAATGAAGGCAATAAACTAAGAGTTCTTGCAGAATCATTATCAGTAACTTTTGCCCTGGTATATAACCCTTTATAAATATACATACTTATGAATATGTATTTTAAAAGGGAGAGAATTATGTCTCTTTAAGATTATTTTTATTATTTATTATTTTTTTTATTTTTTATTTATTTTTTTAGTATTTATTGATCATTCTTGGGTGTTTCTCGGAGAGGGGGATTTGGCAGGGTCATAGGACAATAGTGGAGGGAAGGTCAGCAGATAAACATGTGAACAAAGGTCTCTGGTTTTCCTAGGCAGAGGGCCCTGCCGCCTTCTGCAGTGTTTGTGTCCCTGGGTACTTGAGATTAGGGAGTGGTGATGACTTAATGAGTATGCTGCCTTCAAGCATCTGTTTAACAAAGCACATCTTGCACCGCCCTTCATCCATTTAACCCTGAGTGGACACAGCACATGTTTCAGAGAGCAGGGGGTTGGGGGTAAGGTTATAGATCAACAGCATCCCAAGGCAGAAGAATTTTTCTTAGTACAGAACAAAATGGAGTCTCCTATGTCTACTTCTTTCTACACAGACACAGTAACAATCTGATCTCTCTTTCTTTTCCCCACATTTCCCCCTTTTCTATCTGACAAAACCACCATCGTCATCATGGCCCGTTCTCAATGAGCTGTTGGGTACACCTCCGGGACGGGGTGGCAGCCGGGCAGAGGGGCTCCTCACTTCCCAGATGGGGCGGCCGGGCAGAGGCGCCCCCCACCTCCCAGACAGGGTGGCGGCTGGGCGGGGGCTGCCCCCCCACCTCCCAGACAGGGCGGCTGCCGGGCGGAGGGGCTCCTCACTTCTCAGACGGGGCGGCCGGTCAGAGACGCTCCTCACCTCCCAGAAGGGGTGGCGGTGGGGCAGAGACACTCCTCAGTTCCCAGACGGGGTCGCAGCCGGGCAGAGGCGCTCTTCACATCTCAGACAGGGCGGTGGGGCAGAGGCACTCCCCACATCCCAGACGATGGGCGGCCGGGCAGAGACGCTCCTCACTTCCTAGACGGGGTGGTGGCCGGGCAGAGGCTGCAATCTCGGCACTTTGGGAGGCCAAGGCAGGCGGCTGGGAGGTGGAGGTTGTAGCGAGCCGAGATCACGCCACTGCACTCCAGCCTGGGCAACATTGAGCACTGAGTGAGCGAGACTCTGTCTGCAATCCCGGCACCTCGGGAGGCCAAGGCTGGCAGATCACTCGCCATCAGGAGCTGGAGACCAGCCCGGCCAACACGGCGAAACCCCGTCTCCACCAAAAAATATGAAAACCAGTCAGGCGTGGAGGCGCGCGCCTGCAATCCCAGGCACTGGGCAGGCTGAGGCAGGAGAATCAGGCAGGGAGGTTGCAGTACAGTCCAGCCTCCGCTCGGCATCAGAGGGAGACCATGCAAAGAGGAGAGGGAGAGGGACGGGGAGGGGGAGAGGGAGAGGGAGATTATTTTTAAAAACCCAAATATATGTTTGAATTCACAGATTCCATTAAAGGAAACACGCAAATGTTTGTCTTTTAGTTCAGATATAACTTAACACAGTTCAGGCAGTTAAATCAATATTCTAAATAATTTATTTAAGCTAGGAACTTGCCTCCTTCTCTTTTGATTCAGAGACCAACAGTGGAATGATAATGCAAGTACTGTGCTCCCTGGTCTCTCTTCAAAGTGGGTGAGGCACATCTCAGCAGCTTCATAGTCTGTGCCATCTATACTCTGCATCTCCTTTTGGCAAGATCAATAGGCCTGCCTAGAATGCTTTTCTCATCATTATGTCTTTTTTATACTTTTTTTTTCTGAAATATTTGTGAGTTAGCATGGGAGTGTTAGCAAAGGTCAGCAGTTAAAATTTCATCTTAGTTTACTTTCGTTCATTCATTCATTCATTCATTTTACTGATTACACACTATCCATGGGGCTGGTCTTTGGGAGAATGAGTGTGTGAATAGTTCTTTGCTCCAGGAGCTTAGTTAAGAATATACAACATACAACAAGAGTGTACACATATGAGAACATGCATTGCACATGTGCAGTTGACATCCTGCATACTTCTGAGAGGCAGATAGGTACAAAAGTAGCTCATCATAGGTGGTAGGATATGTTAAGTATCACATGTGTGTTTTAGAAAACAAAAACAATAGGAATTCAGGAGAGGAGAGCATCACAGGTCTGATAGCAGTGCAAGCTTTAGAGAAGAAGTAAATTCCAGCCAGACCTTGAAATTGTATTAAGTGTTGGCAAAAAAGAGACAAATTTAGAGGTACTCTTTTTTTTTCTTCACTCTATCCTGGTGAAGGGCTTAAAAATTGCTGGTTATATTGGAGAATAGGATTGTCGAGTTTCTACATCCTTGCTTGTATGTAGGGGAGCAGGAGGGATAGAAAGAAGGGGCATGTCAGATCAGGCACTGATGGGAAGGACACAGGACAAAAAGGTCAATGTGGCAGGAGTAAAGGGTTCACGTAGGGAATGTCAACATGAGATCAGAGAGACATTTAAAGCCAGATTTAGGGAAGGCTTGAAAATAATACCGAGAGCTTTGAACTCTGTCCTGTAACTAATGAAGGAACGATGATTATTTTTTAACTGAAGAGTATAATAAAATCAGTTACAAAAGATGTGTCCACTTATAAAGAATTGCCTAATCATATCTATCAGGTTGCACTAAATTCTAATAGATAATCAAATCATGTGTTTATGTTGACACAGCACCTTACATTCTTATACATGTAACTATTGTAGTGAACTTGAAATTTCATCATCTGGGAAACTAAACTTTGGAAAACCAAATGATTTGGTGGTAACAGGGCTTAACTCAAAAAGTAGGTTTTCCAAGTCGAGTGTTCTTTAAAATCCTCATCTTGAGTATAATTATGTACTGTTTGAAAGGTTTAAACTGGTCCAGGTGATGCTGTCCCAATGCAAAAGAGGGTGCTTAAGTATGTCTCTTTATTGTTGTTGTTTTGAGAATGACAAGCCTACTTATAACCAAGAGATGCAAATGGTCATTTTCTCTTTGCCTAGGGCACTGCCTAAAAACACAGCAAGAGAAACACTTTGGAAGAAAGTCCCAAGACCACTAGAAGCCAAACAAAAAGATGGATTTTTGTTTTGTTTTGTTTTCTTTATACTTAGGATGTCATATGAGTAAAGGAGGTTGAACAGTTTTGGCCAGGAAACTGATAAAGACTTCAAACTCGAAGGGTGGGGTAAATGGTATTTGATGAGTTCCTTGTCTCCTAAGGAGGTGAGCTTCATGAGCTAATAAGTCTTTTCCATCTGTGAAATCAAAAGACAGATTTTACAGCATTTGGCAGAGAGGGTTAAGCATTTGGGGACCACATGGAGATTATATAGAGGAAAAATCAAAGGGGAGAGCTGCCTCTTGGCTGCAGCATGCATCAAGCTTGGGCTCATCTGTAAACAACCCTCCCCTCCCCTTGAAAAAGGATCAACCAGAATGCCACTCCAAAAAGTTACCACATGTCAATTTTTTTTCCTGCTCTCAATGTTTGTGTCAGATGTTTTAATTTAGTCCCCTCATACTATGCATGATGTTCTGAAAAGGTGCAGTCAGATTTAGAGCATATAAATATGAGAGAGAGAGAGAGAGAGAGAGAGAGAGAGAGAGAGATTGAGATTGATTCACCCAACTCTTGACTTGCAGTGATTTCTGCTCCCAGTTAGAGCCATAAAGCATTTCTACTCTTCAGCTGTGGCAATAGGGAATGCAGAGGGGCAAATGGAAGTCAGGTGTAGAATGTAAATTCATTTCTAAAACAGACACAGACGCACACACAGACATACACACACACATACACACAATCAATGTTACAGCCAAATTAGGGGGACCTCGAAATTTGGAGTCTATTGCAGAGCATATTTTTCACTGTTGATGCATGCTACATCATGTCATTCTTTCAACAAATATTTTAAAAGCACCAAGTAAGCAAGAGGAAGTAGTGCAGAGTGGTTACAGCTGACTGAAAGCCAGACTGTTCCACCAAGCCCTGGCTATCTCAGCTACATCATGCAGCCTTGGGAAAACACTGGTCTCCAAAGCCAAAATTCCCTCACTGGCAAAATGAAGATAGAAACACTGCCTAGAGTTGTAGTGAGAACTAAATGTGGACATGGTAAGTGCTCAATAAATATTCTTTATTAGTGTGATCTTGTGCCAGGCAATAAACTTAACCAGACTCTCATTACTACTTGGAAATTCTCATGTTAATCTATTGTAGACTCAGATTTGCATTCTTCACAGTAGCCCTTGGAAATATTTCACTGAATTTACATTGCCATTCTTGTGAGACCTTACCATTCCAGATGGTAAGATCTTGGAGGGCTGGGCTTATATCTTATTTATTCTTAGATTTCCAAGATGGGCATATAGATACTATACACTGAAAACATTTACTGAATAAATATTGGAAGGACAACAAGTATTTATTGAGTGCATTGTCATTATTTAACATTTAGTTTAATTGGATAGGAAAAACAAACATACAACAGATGTTAAAATAGTATGAGTGAGAAGACGATGAAGCCCAAGCCATGTACAGAGAATAAAGGCTGTGGTCTTTCCCATATTCCTTTTTCTGTTACTTATAACAGAATACTTGAAACTGGGTAATTTATAAAGAAATGGAATATATTTCTTACCGTTGTGGAGGCTGAGAATTCCAAGGTCAAGGAACCATATCTGGTGAGGGCCTTTTTGCTGCGGAGGTCTCTCTACAGAGTCCTGAGGTGAGGTGGTGCAGGGCATCACATGATGAGAGGGCTGGGTGTGCTAGCTCAGGTCTCTCTTCCTCTTTTTATACAGCTACCACCCCCACTCCCATGATGACCCATTAATCCACAGATGGATTAACACATCCATGAGGGGACAGCCCTCATGACCCAATCACCTCTTAAAAGCCCCACTACTCAATATTGCCATATTGGGGATAAAATTTCAACGTGAGTTTTGGAGGGGACACATATTCAAGCCATAGGAGTCTTTAGGAGAGGGACAATATCAATGAGGCTGAAGACAGTGATTTGGGACTGAATTTTGTGTCCTGAAGGCGAGGTAGTTTACATATGCAGAGAGGATAATAGTATCATTGCCTATGGGAAGCTGTTATTCATTTTGAACAGAAAAGTAGCAAATTGATGACAAAAATGTCCAAAGAAGGGTAGTTTATAAAACCTTTAAAAGCATCTTGGGGCAAGGAAAGAAAATGTTACATATGTTTTAAGAAGTTGATCTTTTAATGTTATAGAGATGTGGGAAATTGTAGAAACAATTTAAATTTTCCCATCATTTGGCAGAGTAGAATATTGAGGCCATGGGAGTTTAATAATTTAAAAAATACACAATTTGATAATTTTTTAAAAAATGTATATCATTACTACTATCAATAAGTTTATCATGAGTCTGTAGGAAATTTCTTCCTTTTCAATTTTCCTGTTGTCCTCAGAGGTGATGGATATAGGCACTGGATTAGGGCTTTTCAAGTTCTTGAAGCTGTGAGTTGAGGTTTTTCTGTTTCCCAGGATGATCAATCAATGCAAAAAATTGAGCTTTAAAGATTCACTATGAAAAAGGAATGCTGCATAGATTAAATTGCATTTGAAGTTTAGACCTATAGCTTGGCTAGTATATCAACCTCCCAAGTAGACCATTTATTTTAGTGGTTTTAAAGGTACATGGAAGAGAGTCAGTCATTAGATAAGAACCAAAGGAAAGATACTGTGCAAACTCTGTCTGTCTCTCTCTGTATTAAATGGAAATGCTTAACCCAATGTTATTAATTATGGATGTGGACATGCCTAATACCTGGCATGTCATTAATTTATAATGAATATAACTTCCTTTTCTGTCTTTCCACTCAGATCCTACCTACACCTGGCTAGATATAGCTATGAAGTATCTTCCTGATTGCAGAGTCAAAACAACAAAGTTTATGCAAAGATAAAGTTTTTTACTAGAAAGTAGAGGTCATTAAAGGTGGGTGGAGTGTGGGTGGTGTCACCAATGTCCAAGAGGTAAGGGACAATATTTTGGAAAGGACAATCAAAATCCTTTTTTATTCAGCATTTCCTTTGCTCTTCACAAAAGATCCAGACAGACTTTAAAAGTATGTTTTTCTTTAAGGGGTTAACTTTTTATTCTTTTTTTTCCCCTTTATTTATTAGAACAGATTTATGACTGTGTCTCCTCTTAAAAGTTCCATCTTGTTTTATGGTGGTTTTCCCATCATGTCTTCTCCCAATAGGTGTGAAACCATTATTTAAAGACTTATTCCTAGAGGTATCAACATTTTATAGAAAGCAGAAAACATTGGAAAAGCATGATATGGCATCAAAATAGGGGATTGAAAATGTATCAGAGGAGGAGAATTAACATGAAAAACTGTAAGCTCTGGAGCTCAACTACCTAAACTTAATCTTGATTTCACTATTTATCAGCTGCATGATCTTGGACAAATGATTTACCAATCTGTGGCTGAATTTCCTCATCTATAAAACAATGATAATAATATTATCTAGCGTTGCAGAGTTTTGTGAGAATTTCAATGAATTAACAATTGTAAATCACCTTCAAAAATGACTGGAGAATAAGAAATACTCATTAAGAATTAGCTATTATTATTTTTCCTGTAATTATTATTTATATAGAGTGCAATACTTCTTTCATACAAATATAATTAATTCCTCAGGAAATTAAAGCACTGTGTTTGAGTCACGTGAGTGAGTAATAAACCTGGGAGCAAAATAAGTCTTCTGATTCCCAATTTTGTTTGCTTCCCACTGTACCATGTTGAGGTAGAAGAAAAAGTCAGAAACATAGTGAAGAAAGGATGCATAAAGGAAATGTACAATTTTCTCTGTTGAAAATCACCATTATTTCAGTCCCCAAATTGGGTGCTACCAACAGGTGGATTACTGTGACACAATAGAAAGAAGTTTTGTTTTATTTTCTTTATTTTCATTGTTTTCTATATGCTAAGCAAATCCTAATGTCTCTGGAAGTTTGCATTGCCCTTAAGAGATCTTCATTTTCTTTCCACCTCTTGGAGATTGTTGGTTTCTATGCCAAACCTAGCATTTGAAGAGACACCATTGTTTGCAATAGCATTTTATTTGATATTTTGCCCTTAATTCCAATCTTGAACAAATTTTTATTTGCCGTGTTTGGTAGGCTCATGTGTTGAGCCTGCGACTTCATTGAACATCAACAAGGAAACTTTTCTGTGATGCATATCAATCTGCAAGTGGAAAGATCCTCAAGATCTTACTTTAAATGAAAGCATGAGAAACATCATATATCCTTAGTTCAGTCCAGATATATTGACTTTGAAGATTTATGAAGAATGCAGAGATAGACAATATCACACACACCTTGTCATTTTTAAGCTCCCCTCTTTGGCATAGTAAGTTGGGGAAGAGGTGATTATTCTAGACCAGAACGTTTGTCAAGGGTGTGTTTTTGATTTGTTCTGCAAACCAAGCTTTTGGCAAGAGAAGAGTGTGTCAATATAAAGAGCCTAAGAGAGGTGCACCCTTGAGCCTCTTTTGAACTCTGTTCAATGAAAGGAACAGATTGGAAACCCTGTTACTCTCTCAAGTCAAGATCCTTTCTCTCTGACTGAAAGGTCTCTCACCACTAGAGCAGGGAGTCAAAACTCTTATACTGCAAAGATCCCCCTCCAGGCCTTTTTCCTGATCCTTAATGTCCAACTTTAGTGATTGGAAACATATGACTTTTCAATACTTTCAAAGGAGTGTTCAGTAAAGGAAATCAGACAAACTCTGAAATCCATATTTTCTCACAATTGTTACCCTTCTACAAGGATATTACCTGTGTAGCTAGCTAGAGCCTATAGTTTAGGTAGAAAATAGGCTAAAGAAGATTGGAGGGGCTTAATGGACCCAGAAAGGTACCTGGGTCCTGAAATATCTCCCACTTCAACCCTAAAACTCTTTGTGTCTTAAATTGTATGAAGTTCTGCTAAGAAGCTTTTCACTGAGTTGTGTGAGTGTCTTTCCTAAAAACTCAGTGGGTTTCCACTAGGGAGGTTAAAGAAGAATGTTCAGAGTTCACACACCTCAGTGTGCACTGGTTGAATCAGATGACTTCCTTCACCTATAGCCAGGACACTAAATAATAGGAGGAGAATGGATACTTTTATAGCAAGGACCAGTTAGAAAGAAACTATCCTGGGTGAAGCACTGGCATTAAAGTCTTTTCACCTATTAAATAGAGCATAGCTATGACCAAAAACAACAACAACAACAACAACAACAAAACAAAACAAACAAAAAAAAACTAAACAAAATATTCCTAAAGGAAGAAGACACAACAGAGGGTGTGAGGTGGAGCTTAGGGTAAGTGGTAGGGGGTAGGGAGTAAGTGAAAAAGAATGAATTTTCTTTCTAATACCCATCCACTCATTTTCCAAGTTTGGTTTATTTTAAAATTGTATCTATAGAGAAACTGTGATCATAGGTGTTGCTAGTATAGCAGTCCACTTCCAACAACTCAGAACATTGTCTTATGTTCAGAGGGCATTAACTGACAAAAGATTGGGTAAATGGTATTTTTAATGGAAGCTACGGCCCTCTTAGATTTTTCAAACGTCTGCTTAGACTTGAGTCTATTTTCTAAAATCTCTTCTAATGAAATAATCTGCATTTTAAAATTCTTATCAACACAGATACTAAGGGCAAATATAAAATGTGTATATTAATACAAATACATGAGATTACCTTAAAATTAGTATTACAAAGCTGTAAAAATTTTAAAGTAGCATAATACTAAGTTACATTTAGGAAAGTCATCTTATTATCGTCTCTTTTGAGGCTCATAAAAATTAATTATCCTTAGCCATAGTTTTTCCTTCTAATTTAATTTCTCCAAGTAGTTTTAAAATAAGGTCAAGTCAAAAATACTATTCTGTACATATGTACTAGATAACAACTGATGTATTGCCAGAGAAAGCTTATAGCCCAAATGTGAAAGAGTGGAGTTTCTTAAACCTGAACATATGTAAGAATTACCTGGGATAATTTTTAAATGCAGATTCTGATTTAGTAGGTTTGGGATGAAATCTAAGATTCCTTATTTCTAATAAGCTCCCAGGTGATGCAGATGCTGCTGGTCAGACAACTAGCAACAGGATGGAGACTCAATCATTAATGATTATCAAGCAAACAAGGAGCACCTTAATCTCCTTTACCCCATCACCTCTGTTTACCAACCAGTAGAGACCTCTCTAAGTATATAGTAAATTCTGTGTAATATAAATTATCTGAGCAACATACATTGTTCAAAGGTACCCAAGTAAGTCCTTGGAAACCAGGTGATGTTGTAGGAATTTGAAAGTCTGATAGCTCAGCAACCATGCCTGGGGTGCCCAGCCTGGATTACCTTTTGATGATTATAAGGGAAGTTAGTTTAATTGTTAATGGAAGTGTCTCCCCCAATCCGCACCCTTACATTAATATTTGTTTTGGAAAGCGCTATATCATTTTAAGTACACTTTACTGTGTGTAATTTCCGCCTCCTCCTCCTTCTCTTCTTATGTTTTTGTAACAGCTCTCTGCAGTAAATCTATCATTTATTATTATTACTAATTGCAATTTACAGGGAGGAGTTGAGGCTTAAAGAAAGATCTGTGAGTGCCAGATCACGTATCACTGGAGAAGTGGCTGAGCTAAGCCTAGTTCTAATGGGCTCTGGGATTCTTCACGCATAAAACAATCCTTCCCCCATTCGTCCCACTGCCAATGATGACTATGTAAAAAGAAATAGACAAAAAACAATATGCACACATTCCTTTCGTTTTTGTGCCTTTTTTGTTCAAAACATGATATGGCCTAACCAAGAGGTTTGACTTGCTCTCCGAAAGCTACTACTTCCGTAATCGACCAGCAGGGGACACTATGGCATAGGAATTCAGCTTTACTTGCTGATTACCGTTTCAAGGGTTGTTTCCCGCCCCCACATTCTATTTATTCCGTTTTCACCTTACTCACATTTATTAGATTGGCAGATGATATTCATCATTGGAAACAGTTCAACATACTTTACATTGAAGCAAAGGTTTTTACATTTTTTTGATGTTAAAAAAGGGGTGTGGAAAAAATTATAGCTGATGTAGCAAATAAGTCTACCATTTAAAAAAACCAACAAAAAAATGATTTCTCTTGTATCCATACTTATAAAATTAATGGATGTATTAAATTAGTGGAAAAAAAGACATGAAGGCTCAGTTACTTTGATCCCTAGGTACCTAGAGCAAATGTTTGTCACCTTTATTTTTCTTCTGCTACAGATTAATTTTATTTTCCAAACAGTAATAGATAAAAGAAGACAAGCTATACTAGTCTGAGTTCCTCTGGGTCTTATTTTCCACAGATTCAATCAGAATAAAAGGCTGCTGTTCTAGGCAAGTCCAGGTTGAGCAACTTCTTGTATCAAACCTTCAGTTCACTCTACTGGGATTTTTCTGCCCCTTCCCAGGTCAATAGGGGAAGAGAGGTCACTTCCCTAAGAGTAAAATAATCTGAACTAGGGCTTCCAGGAAGTGAAAAGGCTGGCTGGTTTGCATGATTATCTCCAGCTTTGAATATAGCAAGATATTGAAATACCAGAAAGAGCTGTTAGGAAAATCACCCTGGTTGTGTTTTAAGTTGCTTTTAAATGAATTGTTTTGTTTGTAAAAAATAAAATAAAATAAAATTCCAACCATAGGCTCTTGTGGCAACTTGCCTACCCCAAAATGGTCTCAGCATGCAATAATTGCTCCATCCTTTTCTCTGCCTTGCCTTTTGTTTGCCATTAGCTATTAATATAACCAATTAAAGACGTCTCACGTAGGATCCCAGCTGAATTCATCTAGTAAAGTGTCCTGTCTTCCCTTAGGGTACCCCTAGTCATACTTTGGAAGGGAATCAAATCTAGAAGGAATCTTAGAAATTTTAGTTTTATGGGCCACTTAAGCCCTCTCCCTCCCCGCTCTCACCAGTGAAGAAGCCAAGTCCCCAGTTATCAAACCATTTGCCAAAGGACACATGTCTGCTTTCAGGGAGAGACTGGAACATCTCCTGACTGTCCTGCAGTTACTGCTACTCCTGGGCAGTGATTTTTCAAACCATTAGTGATATTGGTATTTGATTCACACATATACATTAAGAGTAATTTTACTAGCAGGCCTTCCCATCTTAAGGTATAGATTTTAAAATATTTCCATTTTAGAAACAAAAATTAATGTAAGCATCTTCCCACATTGAGTGTGAATGAGGAACCTGAAGGCCTAAACAAAGCGCTTGGTATCTAATATGAACATATTTTGATAACAGGGCCAAAAATATCCGAGAAAATCATGGAAGAAAATTTAAATTTGAAATGTTACATTGGTTAACCCACTTTTCTGAGTATCAGAAAAGGTCCACAATATTTCATTATTAGAGTGGGCACTTCTCAGTGCAGTTCACAAGAGCCTCTGCTCTGGGATTTTGCATTAAGGTGATCACACAGCACTATGACATGAATAGATATATCTTGCGGAGCATCAACCCAGGTGTGTGAAATATCATCACAACATGCCCTTTGATAATCAACTGTATATTTCTTAAACATATTCATATCTTCAGTTTCTACCAAATCTTATAAAAATAAAACATACACTTCTTGAATGCAAAACATTCCTCTTTGTTTGCCCAAAGCACACTTTTTTTCAGTTTCAGCATTCAGAATTCTAGCAGATACTTTCTTGATAAGTTTACAGATTTTGAGCAGAACCTTACTTGTCCACACTGACATGTTTGTTAGTGTATTCCAATTTCATTAGTCCAATGGAACCTTTTTAATGTCCTTTCACCTGGAAACTTTCTGGTCTAGTGCCTTGTGGTTTTGCTAATGAAACTCTTATCTTGTCCAGCCATTGATACCCTCTGGCATTATTTATTTAAGCTAGTTTTTCTTTATTATATTCATTACAATCAGAAATCTAAGTATTTTAATCATGTTCCCACTTTATTATGTTTATATGAGCAACGGCGTTTCTGAAGACCCCTACCCCCCAATAGCACTCCTTATGGAGTTCTAAACAATTTGAATATTTAAAAAAGATGGAAAGTGTAGATGAATAAACAATTATCATCCTTGATTTTGTCTGTTCTGCTATGTTTTCCATTTCAGTAATGTGGAAAATCTTACACATATTGGAATATGGGAAATATGTCAGTATAAAGGAAACTCGACATCGCTTCCTTCATTTGTGATTTTTTTTCCTAGCATATTAATGTTTTATATCAGCAAGTAACAGTAGTTTCATGCAAAGTATACAAATAGGTGAAGGGAACAATCTGTAGAGGAACCAAGTACAGTTTGTTCAGACTATTCTTTCTTGGGGTGCATTATGCCACAAGCTCTGTTTGGCAAGTGTTAATTGTACTCGTCTACCTGACATTTGTGCATTTTACTCATGTCTCCTAACCACAATTCTTTCCTGGACTCCCATCTATCAAGCAACATTATCCTTTTAATTTTTAACTAAAGACCTGTTCTTATTATATTTATTTATTAAAAATTAAATGCCTTTCAATGATAATATTTTTCTGAGAATTTTTTTTTTTTTTTTTTTTTTTTTTTTTTTTTTTTTTTTTTTTTTTTTTTTTTTTTTTTTTTACCAGTTCTCTCGTTACAGAGCTGGGTAGATTTGGAATAGTGTAAGTTTTTGCAGAATACTGAACAAGGTTTTTCAAAAACACCTGAATGCACAAAGACCAATTTGGACAACATGACTTAGTGGTGAGAGCCACACGAACCTGCTTACTGGACCCCTGGGTTAGGCAAGCCTAACTCCATGCACACAAGTGATGGGCCCTGGGCAAGGGGCACCCATGAATTAGAGCCCTTGAAAGAGCAAAGGGCCCTGTGCTTCCTTATAAAAGCTCTCCCAATAGGAAGAAGCATGGAACTGAACAGAACATGCCTAAAATTATTTTTCCCAACTGTGGTAATCAAAGGCATAGGGAAAAACCGAGAAGAAAAATAAAATCCTTCCTCATGAACTCAGGAGTAGAGAAAATGTGTTACCCTCTAACAGTGCTGGAAAACATTTCCAGAAACATTTGAAAATATTGATCAAGAATGGAAAAGTAAAAAATAATGCAAGTAACCCATTCTTATATGAGGGACAGCTAGGTTTAATAATGGGAAATATATCCTTCCAGACCTCATGTGGTGTCAACCAGGTTTTATGCAATATTTAGGAGTGGCCATTTCCCCTGTTCTTGAATTCGTCTCTTAAAAAATTACTAAAGCCCTTTAAAAACTCAACCCTTTAAAATCTAAGTGAAAAACATAAAAACAGAGGGTTAGTAGAATAATCAAGCTTATTCTCTATTTGAGTTTTACTTTCGAAAATCCATTATGACCTCCAATCAGTCCTGAAAATAGTCACGCACATATTTGTCCAGACATGTTATAATTTATTCCAACTGAGTGGGAAAAGAAAGTTTCTTTCATGTATATGCTTGTATACCTACCCTCCTATCCTCTACCATCAATAGAAACAAATGACTGCATGATGAAACTCAGGGTATCTCTCAGCCCCACTACTGGCTGATAATTAAATAGCATACCACTTTTGTACTACCAAGCTAGATATAGTGGAACTCTAGAAATGACAATAGAAAACACATGAGGAAGCCTCTTAATTAGAGAATGATTACTTTTTTGAGCCAGCTGGGGTATAAGTAAATCCTGTCCAAAGGCAGTGCCCATTAGTCTAATGACCACATGCCTGCAAATGGAAACAGTTTTTGGACTTCTCTACACAGGGAAAATGACTGTGTATGTTAATTAGCAGAAGCTCCTTCCCAGTTTTATCTGCTATAATAAATTATTTACATTTCCACAAAGATGCATCTGTTTGAGGTCTCATGTGTATCCTACACATACTTATGTTTTCCACAATACTGTTTTTTTTCTCTGCCTAACATAATAACCTTGTTCACTCTATTTTCAGTTTTCTTTTCTTTTATTATTTGAGTAGGATTCCAATGCTTGAATAACATTGCGTTTGAATAGTATACCCTTTTTAGTTACTCGACTTTACCAGGTGTACTTTCTCAAAAGAAACTAATAAGAATGCTAAGATAATGAGTACAATAGCCAGTAAACTTTAGTAGAGGGAGAAATTTTAAAATTCCTTGCTGTTTGAATCTATGAAAACCGTGACCTTAGTGGAAATGCAAAATAATGCAGATTTGCTAAACAGTTCTACAAGTGCTGGGAGTTACTGTGGAAACTTAGCCAATAAATCATCCCCACTTAAAAGGGGAAAAACAGCCAAAGAATCTATGATCCTGAAAATGTCACAGCCTCTGAAACGTGTGTGTGGAAAGCAATGTTTAAACCAAATATGATGTTTTTTTCCAACATTCTTCCTTTCTAATGTGAAATAACTAATAATGTATTCACATTATCTGTAAGATTTTATCTTGTTTTGAGTGTCCAAATGTATTTAAGAACATTGCAAGGTTTTGTTTTGCAATTTTACTGTATTTGTTGGTCAATTAATTGATTGCCATTAGAATGTGACTTTTTAAATAACCTTTCATACAGAAATAATTCTGTTACTATAAAGGAAAAAGAGTCAATAACTAACACCAGTAAAACAAGTAATGAAGCTTTTAAAGATAAAAAAGAAATCTCTCATACCTCCACCATTCTAAACACAACAGATTTCCTTTGAGCCTATCCTTTTTACTGACAGTAGCCAGAAAACAACTGTGAATGAAGGGCTTTCCAGATCAATTCTTAAATCAAAAAGTGTTGGAAAACTCAGATTTAAAAAAGAGAGAAACATTAGGAGCTTGTGTCCTGGTCAAGAAATGACCAATGAACTCCTTGATAAGCTTCACGCCCTCACCTGTAACATGGACTTAATAATAGTACCCACCGTTCATCTGTAACATGGCTGTAATAATGGCACCTACTCGTTGCTGTTAGCATTGAAGGAGCCAACGTATGCAAGCCAATCACTTAACAAATGTCCATTGTTCTGCTTGTCATTCTTTGCTTATACTTCCTGACAACAAGCAGAAACCTTAGAAGAGTGGTCTGTTCACTTTAGGGAAGGCTAAGTCAGCATTAGGTGTCTTCCATCTTAAAGCACACAAGACAGACTGGGTAGAGCAGCAGCGTCACTGATCGCCACTCTAATAGCTCTCTGGCTAAGTTTCTCATGTCCTTTGCGGTGTTAACTACAAAATGCATCGACCAGATTCTCCTCATAGTTTCTTCACAGGGCCAGAATGACACCAAAAGTAGAGTAGGCCCAGTGACCTGATACCAGAGAGCCAGAACACTCAGCAGAGTGCACAGTAGGGTCCTTGCATAGGGTCACCTGAAGACCTGAGACCATCTTCGGGAGAGTCAGGAGTGGAACGTGCTGCTTCTTAAAAAGAATCTAGGATAGTAGATTTATCTTCTTCCCTTCTCCTCTCTAGGTTTCACCTGAAGCTTACAATAGCCGATCAACCTTCAACAACTTTGACCTTAAGTCCAAATCTTAAGGAGACAAAAATACTCGTCTTCTATGTAAAATTGTTGAGAAACCTGCTCTGGAAGATATATTTTAAAAAATTAATGATAGGTTTTTCCTCTTTTCTTTGAGAAATCATCTTACATTTCTGAATTTGAATGCTTACTCCTCCAGAATGTTTGAGCACCGTGATCAGTATTTTTGCACTTCACCTGAGAGTGCGTGAGTCCCTTTATGGTTATACTTAAACAGTCTTGCCTTGCTATGCCTCCTTCGCACAGTAGGTTAGGAATCACTAGAGCAAAGCAGACATAGCCCTGTTAACACCAAAAAGAAGTTCTCGTTTTTTGACCACAATTCCTCATAACCCATTCCAAAAACAAAACAAAAAACTCTCAAACTCTTGATAACAAAAAATTCACTACCTAGTAAAATTCAAGCAGGGTGTGATATATGTATATATTTGCTTTGTAGCAGGAATGTGGATGATTCATATTGTTTGCTATGTGTAGCTATCTAAAAATATATCCATAATACAATTTTAGATCACAAATAGTTCTGATTCAAATAAGTACCATTACATGTGATACTGTTAAGCAAAGAAACTTTCACATGTTAAATTGACAATAATGAAGTCTAAATAAACAGGAATTTGTTATTTAGAGTAGGAATAATGTTACTTTAAATGGCACTTGAAAACCACTTACACTTTTATCTGTGCTGAAGATTTTGGCAGTTCTGCCTGTTTGCATGTGCTCTTGCAGAGGGTGCGATTTGCATTGCTCTCAGGTGTTGGGTAGCAGCCAGCTTTCTCATTAGGATATTGAATTAGAATTCTCAGTAAACTCTATTAAGTACTAATTTTAGTTTATGAAAACTAAATTTTAGTAATTCAATAACTTTTCAATAATCTACTGGTAAGGATACTCTAGACATAGGTAAATGGCCTTCAACAACCTTAGTCCCTAACGACAGAGCAGAGGATTTACATATTTGGATGAACTGAGTCATCAGGGTCACCAGGAGTGTTCTTGAGTCCTGCTAGTGGCAGTGAGTTCTACACTAAAAATGACCAATGTAGCCATCAGAAAGGCAAGGATGCAAATTTCACCTCCACTTAACAGCTGTCTGGTGTAGGACAAGTTGTCTGACTCACTTAGTTTTGTCTTCTCTGAAATAGGGAACCTTATACCTCATGGAGTTGTCACAGGAACTTATATGATATAGTGCTTGTAAAGCTTTTAGCACATTCCCTGGCATAAGTTAAGTTGTTCTATAAACAATAGTTATTGTGATTCATTTTGTTATCTTTCACAAGTTTCAGCAGAGTACAAGGAAATGGTAGTTGCGTATTCAATTGAAGTGGATGAAATCAGACTGTATTTTAAAACTAGCAAGCATATAAAGGACCTGCTTTGATTTTTCCTAGAGCTGATATATACGTTAGAATCCATTTTTATATCAGAGTAAATGTGAGCAAGATAAATAATGTGTAGAAAAAAATTCTTTTTTATAATGTCTTCTGCTTGTAGAAGAGTATGTTTAATAAAATATTTTAAGTGATCTTTGTTGGGTTCCTAAACAGCACATTTTAGCACTTTTTGATGTGAGGTAAAGAATTAGGACAAGTGTTATGATCATTTTCTGGTATTTCAATCTCGTAGTCTTTAATTTATTCATTTATTTGGCAACCATTTGTTGAGTGTCAACTATATGTCAGGCTTTATGGGCAAGTGTAAACAAAATAGAATTCTTATCCTCCTAGAACATAATTTCTATTGGAGAATATCAATAACAAAGAAAAAAGAAATAATATGATGTGAGTATAATATAATACCTATGAAGAAAAGCATAGCAGGGAAATGGGAAAAAGTGAGCTAGAAAGTAATAGGAGATTATATTAGGAAAAATTATGAGAGGCTTCTTTGAAAGGGGACCTTTTATTATACCCTAGAATGAAATAAGAAAAGTAGTCATGTGACTGTCTTGGTGAAGAGGATCACAAGGCATGGAAATAGCAAATGCAGATGTTTGAAGAATAAGAAGACCTGGGTAACTGGAGGAGCATGAGCAGGAAGGAAAAAGAGTAGGAGGCCAGGAAGAGCAGGAAGGAGGCCAGATGCCTTCTCATATCATTCAGGTTATTGAAAAGGATCTGAATTTTACCCTAAGTGTGTTAGAAAGCCACTGGGAACATTTGATCATGAGGATGACTTTTATTTTTTAAAAAAAGATAACTCTGGCTGCAGTGTGGACAATAGATTGCAGAGAAGAGGGAGGAAAAAAAACCGTATTAGGATGCTGTAGCAGGCGTCCACAAAAGAGACAGTGGTGGCTTAGATTTAGGTGGTTGTGAGGTTCAAGCCAATAAGTGGTAAAATCCCACATGCATTTTAGAGACAGAGCAGACTGCACTTGCCGACAGATTAGAGGTGTGGAGTGGAAGAAAGCGGAATTTAAATATATTCTTTAATTCTGACCCACTTAATTGTGAGAATAGTGGTGTTATTAGCGGAAGACTTGTTGCGAATGGAAAATCAAGACTTTTATCCTTTGGGGGAGGTTGGAGTGGAAAAGTGGATGTTTTGTTGTTGTTTTTAGACTTTGGTTTTGATATACCTAGTGGACATCCAAGTAGGTAGATGGATACATGAGTCAGAATTTTCAGGGAGAGTTGTGGCTGGAGATGCAAGCATAAGCATCATCACATATAGATAGATTGTAGTCGCAGGACAAGATGAAATTACCCAGAAAGGGAGTTTAGATGGGGAAGAGATATGAAAACTGAGCCTTCTCATATTTGGAGGTCACAAAATAACAGAATCTAGCAGAGAATACTGAGAATAAATGGTCAGCAAGCTAAGAAAAATAGAACTAGCGTGTGACATCCTGAAAGCTGAAAAAATAAAGTGTTTCAAAAAAGAGAATAATCTACCGTGTCAGATGTTTTATTTATAGTGTAGAGAAACATTCTTCAATTACAAAACCTAGAAAATGGCAACATGGAGACAACAAAGTGGCTTCTCTCTGGAGATGACACCTGTTGATTTGAAAATGTCTTGGGTTTATTTGCTGCCTGTGATTTTTCTCGCATAATTCTTCCTCTTATTTTCTTTTTTCCTGGGAATTGTATGTGTCAGCAGCAAGTGAGCAGTAATTTTGCCAGATTCTCATGTAGGGAGAAAGTCCTGAAGAAATAGTAGATTAAGCCTATTTTTCAAATCTATCTATTCCTGCTAAAGGAACACTTCGATGTAACAAACTTCAGAGAATAAAAATACTAGTAAAAATGAAGTTGTTATGATAAAAGTGAGGAACAATATACATTCTATCTCAAGTTTTCAAAAAATCCAGACTTTGGAACAGCCTAATTTTACCTATCTTTCTCATTTTTCTTAAGTTCTTTCTGTTTTCCACAGCCAAAATATCTTTACTTCTTAAATTAACAGTTTCCTGTTTTGTGTATTTTGAAAACAGCACACTATCCTGTAATCCTTCTCCCTGAAATATTTCATTGAACTTCTACTTGGAGGGTCACAAGACTCAAATTTCAGCAAGCAGATAAATTAAATGACCAAAGAAACCAGGTACCGTGAGAAATGCACTTTGTCTAAAGAGGCGATTGAGTTCTGAGAATAAATGGCAGTATGATAAGAAAAACAGACGTAATGTTTAGCGCTTTGGATGTTAAAGAAATAAATTGTTTCAAAGAAGGAAAACATCCAGTATACATATGTTTTATTATTATTTTTTTTTTTGGTATGGAGAGGGCCCTTAAATTACAATACCTAGAAATTGATAACATCTGGACAATAGAATGGCTTCTCTCTTGAGATGGCACCTGTTGATTTGAAAATGTCTTGGGTTTGTTGCCTGCAATTTATCCATTATAGTTCTCCCCTTTTTCTTCTTTCCCGGGAATGTTTCCATGTCATCCAAATTTTAAAGAAATGAAGATTTAAAGTAAAATCTGTTGATTTTTAAACACTGTACATTTTGCTGGTCTTGGACTCCTGGGCTCAGGCAATCTTCCTGCCTTACCCTCCCTGGTAGCTAGAACTGCAGGTGCACACCACTGTACCAAGCTCATTTTGCTTTTAATACACTACCTTGGCCAAACCATCTAGTTAGCAGTCCTGATATAGCTTTCAGGATACCCATTTGAAAACTTTTCTCTACTACGTCTTTGTTTTCGCATGTTTATTCATGTATGAAACATGTATTTATCAAGCACCAACTATGACCAATTACAAAGAATATTACTTCCACTATGAGCTTTCTCTTTGTCCTCTATTACTGTATATCAATTCACCTTTTCCCCTAAAGTTGAAATTATTCTGGTCTGAGAGTTTAGCTCAAAATTTAGAACTGATTTATGATATTTAATATTTGCATATCTTTGTAAAAGACATCTCTTTTTCACCTTACCTATTGCAGTCTAAGGCACCTTCTCATGACTTAAATGCATTGACATTTCTATTCCTCTTCTATGATCCTATCATCTGGCAATGTTTTACAGTCAGGGCTATCAAAACGCTAGTATAGTAAAATGCATCCTGTAGTGATAATCTGTAAGTAATTTCAACTCAGTCAACTCTTTATGTAGCAGGATAATAACAAAGGAGGTCGCTATGGGAATTAGAAAGGCAGTAAGACAATCATATAAAAAGCCTACCTGAGAAGGTATTTGCAGTTTAATTTCTCCTTTAGTGTATTTTTGCTAGTTCTGGTATTATTAAATAAGTTTGGTTTGATGAATTCATCGCTAGTTATCATGTAAGCCTTGTGATCACATCATTTTAGAATTGCATGATTGGCTGTATTGGTGATGAACAGATAGTAGTTCAAGAGAGGGACACCTCAATGATTATCATAGATGGCAACTTTGATAAATTAATAAGTAAGTTTCATAATCTGCCTCATTAAGTAGCAGCAAAAATTAATCTGCAGAGATGTTTACAAATGAAAATAAGTCAATTGTTCATAAGATTTCTTTTATTGTCGGAAACATAGATTACTAAATGAAGTGGTCCCTCTGTATGTACCTCTCTGAATTGTACAGAAACTGCATGTAAAAAGAGAAGAGACATAATTGAGGAAATTACTTTCAATTGTTTCTCATTCATCCCTAAGCCATTTGTTGCAGCCTGACCATTTTAATTCTTATTCTTCTGTGTAAATTAGAAGCTTTGTAACCAACAGAGAGTCTCAGATCTGGGATTAAGACTCATTGATCCATTTGCTAAAAGCCAGCCTATCTTATTAGTACATTGGAACTTAAATAAACAAGAATAGGAATCCTTGCCATAAAGCTGCATTGTGACAAAAACCAACATTGTCCCAGTGTTCCCAACGCTTCAATATCATGTATTAGATTTTCAAAATAAGTGATAAAATCCCTAATAACTATATTTTAAGAGGGTTGCTTTTATTGTATTTCAAATGTAATGTAAATTTGAAACACATGGATTCTCTTCCCAAGAAGATTATTTTTAAAGCACTATAATTAGGTTTAGTTATAACCAAACTCATTAACTTATGATATTGCTATTCTAATAAAATTTTGCTCTATAGGCTTTATTTTTTTTTCAATTCCCCTTCCCATTCCATATTAATGCACAGTCAACTCAGGGATCTTCTCTTTTATTCCAGCATTTTATCTCAGTCTTATTTACTTGTATCTTTCAGTTGTCTTTTCTTGCTTTTTTTTCTTTCTGCAAACTTGTGAAACTCTCTAACATATCTGAGACAACATTCTCATTTTCATCTGCCCTGCCTCACTCCCAAGACCTTTTAATTCTGCTGTTTTAGCTCTCTGAGCTCTACTAGGGAGGCCAAAATTCTTGAAAGTTATTCTGGAAGTTAAAGGTAAAACATTTCCAAAGTCTGGGAAAATCAGTCCAGAGCATATTAGAATAAATGACATCAACTCTGTGCTTCAGGGGTTTATTCTTAAAATTCCTGCTCTTCTAGGTTGTGAAATACTAATATGATTTATTTTCTTAATCTGTTTGTGTTGCTATAAGAGAGTACCACAGATTGTATAATTTATAAAGAACAGATATTTATTCCTTACAGTTCTGGTGGCTGCGAAGTCCAAAAGCAAGGGGCTAGCATCTGGAGAGGGCCTTCTTGCAGCATCATCCCATGGTAAAATGTGTGTGTTGAGGGGAGGTGGGGGTCAAGGGAGCACAAGAGAGCAAGAGGGGGCCAAACTTTCTTTTGTAACAAACCCACTCCTATACTAATGACATTAATCCATTTATGAGGAAAGATCCATATGGCCTAATCACCTCTTAGAGTTTTCACCTCTCAATATTGCTGCATGGGAGATTAAGTTTCTAACACATGAACTTTGGGGAACACAGTCAAACCATAACACTTACCAAGGTCTCCTGTCACCAACTTTTGTAGCAATAGTACAGTTACACAGCATTGATATTTTAAAAATTAAGTCATTGCGTGAGCCACACTAGCCTGTGTAAATTAGTTGCTCTCAGGAATAAGTTCCTAAATTCACAAAAAGATCTTCTCTTAAATTATAAGTTTTCAAATAGATTTTATAAGTTAAAAGAAGAATGTACAAAGGGGACTTCCCTTTTGATTCATGGAATTAAAAAAAGGGCAGGAGGAGAAGTTAGGAAAACTTAATCATCCTTATGAGAATTTCTCCTATTTCCTGTAACACCCCATTGTCCTCCAGGTGAAAGCCTGTTTAAATAGGCAAACCTATAACTTATTAGCTTACATGAAATTTCTATAAAAACATACAGGAAAATCCATGCTTTTTACCTGTCTTTATTTGACCATTTTTACAGAAAGAATGCATACTTATGGTTTGATACTCAATACAGTCTAATACTACTATTTAAGACGAAGAAAGTATATAAAATCAAGTATAAGATGTAGGCATTTCATTGCCTAACTTGGTATAAATAATTCTGAGTTTGACATGCCAGTCTGAAATTTTAATTTGTTAATTTAACCTTTTCACGAAAAGAAATTAGATACCATAACATCACCAAGTATAACCAGCAATGGTGTATTTAAAGTTCCATTTGAATATGAGGCCTTCCCTGGGGTTTGGGTTATTTCAACAGCTTTTTTAACGATATGTATATCCACTACATTCCAGTTACTCTCCTATGGTCATAGGTATATTGGCAAAGGCAGACAAGTCAGCTAAATGAAATTAAGTTTAAAAGTGGAAGATGGACATTGATAAAAAATAGCAATTTATTAACTTAAAATTATCGAAGATGCTTCAAACCAAGAAAAGATTATAGGAGAACCTAATGTAGTTTGGGAACTGAAAGAAATAACCTCTGAGAGGCCTTGAAAAACTAATTGGACATAGATAAGAGAAGAGAGAAAAGACAAAGAATCAGTATTAGAATTTCATACATTTGGGTCTAATCAAGAGATTTACTTGTATCAATGACATGTTCATATATTATTGATACCAGTTATTATTATTAACCAATAAATCTAAGTTTATTGGTTAAATAGCTTGTATGCTGGTGGACATTGTCTCAGAACTTATTGTCTAACTTTCTTTCTCTATGTAAGAATTATCATTGGACTAAATGGTGTTCATATTTTATTCCATATTTTAGGAATAAAGAAGACTGATACTAGATACATTGGACATGTCAACTTATTCATATGCCTGAATCTGTCTGTTTATCACCATTTTGGTCTGATGTTGTGCTTGCACACATATTTACTTTTTATTTTTGGTGTTTTGTTGTTGTTGTCTTGAGACAGGGCCTCGCTCTGTGTCTAGCAAGTACAGTGGTACAGTCTCAGCTCACTGCAGCTTCTGCCTCCCAGGCTCAAGCTGTCTTCCCACCTCAGCCTCCCAAGAAGCTGGGACTACAGGTGCACACCACCACACCTGGCTGATTTTTGGGATTTTTTGTAGACTTCAGGTTTCACCACGTTGCCCAGGCTGTCAGCATACTGCTAACGCCACAAGATGTGTTTTCTTTTGTTTAATGTAGTGACCACATAATTAACCAGACTATAAACATCTCAAAGTAACAATATTTTTTTTTTTACTTTGCTGTTGCATAAAATCAATCAGAGAACCTTTATTTAGTGGGAGATGTTCAATAAAAGGGTGTCAAAGAAATGGAAGACTAAAAGAATGATTGATAGTTATCTCTGAAATATGATAAGAAAAGAATGCCCTATCATTCCCAGAGTATCAGGATTGGTTTCAACAAATATCCTGAATTTCAATATAATTGAATGGAATCTAAGGAGCATAAAATTATAATTCCAAAGCAACGATACTCCTTAGAGAATGCCCTGTCAGAAACCCAATTTTAGAGTTACTGCCAACTTCCTGCTGAGAAGCATTTCCGGAAGATGTTTTGACTGTCAGGATACAGGAAAGCCAAACCCTGGTTTGTATACAGGGCAATAAAGATAAATACAGCATTTGTATGTGTTCCAAGTGGCTATGAAAGTGCCAGTACACATGTACTGGATTCTCAGTGTTGCCCGAGCTAAGGCAAGTCCTCCACAGAATTATGACCTCTAGAAGATCGTCAAAGAGATTAGAACTAGAATCATATTTGATGGTCATTATAAACAATTAGAAATGTAGGTACATTATATTTATTGTTTGTGTTGGTTGATATCAGCCCTGTGCCACTGCAAGGACAATTCAAGTACATGGTATATTCATAATCAGTCTATTTTACTTCACTGTATTATGAATGGCATAATTCAGAATCATGCCTGTACTCCCCACCCCAGATTGCCCAAAATGTAGTTTTTCTACCTGGTATAGTTGGTTCTTCTCCAAAATGGTTTACTCAGCATGTACCTTAAATCTGTAAGGGGTTGAGGCATCAAAAAGTTTCAAGTAAAAGATGAAGCTGTGGACTGCTCTCTTGTGTTTAGCTCCTTCAAAATCAGTTGAGAAATTTAATTGTGATTAATTATCTAATCATCTTTCAGTTTTACTTTTTCAAGACGTGTGTTTCATTACCCAAGCCCCTAGTGGATTTGATATTTATTGTCCACAGTGAGTGTTTTGTAAAATGTTATAAAATAAAGGTATTCATTTCTTAATTCACAGCCTCCTGGGAGTTCATAATGGTGCTGATTATTTTAAAAGTAATCGAGTGTTTAAAAATATCTTGAAAATTAACAGGACCTGTTTTTTTTGAAAATGCCATTAAGAGCAATCACAGATTCCCCGAAGAGAAGCTTCATAGGACCATGCACTTCAGCTGTCAATTATTTCTTCATACTGTTCCTGTAATTTTAGCCTTTAGCACAACTAACTGAATTGAGCTGAACTTGGTATTCACTTCTCCTACCTTAGCAGAAGTTCTCTATTTAGGTATGAGTAAATAAAAAATGTAAAGGTTAAAACAGTTATATATTTTTAAAGGACAACAGGTTCCCGTGTTGTTAAGGAGACATAATGAAACTGACTGCTATTAGTTCTGTTCACTGTAAGTAGTTGGGGCCTGAGGGCACTGAGAACAGTGTCCCAGTGAGAGAAAAACAACTTAATTGATAACAATTAACTAGAAATGGATTTTACCTTTTCAGGTGTTTTCTTATCTCTCATCAATTTACCCCACCCACCCTGAAGTCCATTATAATTGTTATAAATGGGATATATTTTAAACTTTGTGAGGAATGCCAAGCAGATTACTCTAGCTTTACTTAAAGGAAACTTTTTTCCATTCCTTCACCACCTCCTTTTCATTCCTCCTGAAAGTCTATTGTTTTATTACAATACCAGACAAATTGTATATTCATGGATAAAAGTTACAACACATGAAAAATGTGAGGAACCATTGGGTGAATCAGACCCTATATGATCAGATTTGAAACTTGAGGTGGCTCTAATTTTTCTTTTTGCAATGAAGCAAGGAATGCTAACTTTAGAAAAAAACTTCGGATACTATGCACTAGATCACTCAGCTTGTTCTGTCAACTATAAATTGAAAATAGTATTAGCTCTCATGGAGTATTGTATAAGGCATAGGTATAATTGTGTTTATAAACCATCCAGTTCCTTGTCCAGCCCCTGGGCAGCATAACACTAAATACAAGCAGATTAAGGAACTGCAAGCTAAGTGCCTTGCTCAAGGCCACCAATTCAGTATTTCTCCTGCGTAGCCCAGTATTCTCACTACACAGATCACACTTCATTCTTGGGAAGTATATGTTTGTCTCCACAGGATGCAATAACTGTCATTCCCATTTCCATTGCAACTTGGTATCCTGAATCATTGAAGTTGCAAGGGGGCATAAGATGCCATCAGTAGCTCCCTGTCAATTTGCCCCCACAATTTGCTTGAAGGTCTCAATTTGGGGGTTCTATTGCTTGTTGGGCATACTTGCTTATATTCATCTTATTAGTCTATAATCTTATTATGACTTTGCTCTTTCATTCTGGGTTTGCTGAAAAAAAGACAACCGCTCAATTCCTACTTCTGTAAGACTCATTAGTTGAAATTACCTCCTATGAACCATTACTTTTTTGGCAGCCAAATCTCATGATTGGCTTGTGTTGAGATCACTCTTAATTTGAAAAAAAAATCTAAGATAATTTTCAATTATATTACTATTAAGACAAATCTCCAATATTTTGCACTTACAGATTTTATCTTTTAAACCTTAAGTGCAGAAATTTTTAACTTTATCTCTGTCAAATATAGCAAAATGATATTTTGCTTACAACCATCAGTTCTGTATGATTGATGTCTTTAATATTTAACAAAATGCATTTCAATAATGAATGACTTGTTAAAATATATTTTTCTTATCAAAGTACTATAGCATGATTAAACAGAAATTGGAAAGTATAGAAAAACTTTATGTAGAGATCTATGTAGACATTTGTATATCATAGATATTTATACATCTATAAATATATATGCATGTATATTTAGTTATTTATTTTAGTGATAAAATATATCACTATTTTAGTTTGATATATTTTATTCCACCTTTTCGTAGTGCATATTTTAAGAAAGTTTTATTTACATACATTTAATAATAAATAATTTTATTTTTTTCTTAGGAAATTTCTGAACTTTACTTACCTTAAGGTTGACGTTTTTTATTTTGAGGTCATTCATAAATATAAGAGGCATGCCTTCTGTTACTTTTATCAAAGCCATTGATAAAATTGTTGACCAGTATGGGAAATACATGAGGATGTTGATTGTTGGTATTCTAAGTGATGAAGGTTGAAAAAAGGCAGCTCTTAGGCTGTGTGAGAACAAGCTTGGAAAGTTTCCTAGAAAGGGAATCAGCTGTGATAGAAATCAAAGTGGTGGTAGTGTGCAGCTCAGGAAAAGAAATACGAAAATGGCACGCTGCCACTCCTGGTTTACCCACTGAGAGTGTTGGTTTGAGGTGTAAGCCACATGCCACCAACATTCCCGGGTAGCATGAATACATGCGTTTCATTAGCTTAATGTAGAAGTCACTAAGACTTCTGGGATTTGCTGCTTTCAAATGCTTTCTGGCAGTACTGAATTAAGGAAGTCATTTGAGTAAGTTAACTATGCTGTGATCTATTAGTCTCTGACATGAGAAGATTTAATACTGCAGAGAGAAGTAAATTGTTAACCATGTGTACATGAACAGTGTCTAGGCTCTACAGTGCCCAAAGCAATGCAAACATTCCTTCACTCATGCATTGATGCACAGACTGCAATGGAGATTCATTTCTTAACTTCAGCATAAAACAATCCCATTTTTAAAATGGGAAAGTTGGGGGAAATTGAAGATTTTCATTCAAAGTGTAGCTTGGGGGTGTTTGGATTAAACGCTAAAGTGCTTGCTAATTTTTATGTGAAAACAATTAGTATTTACATTTCAACATGTTAGAAGAGTTCTCAAAATGGTGAGGAGACTGATCATTGAAACTAGATGGTCTCTAAACAGATGGAGTTTGAGGAATTTTCTTTCTGAAGTTAGGAGGTGGCTCAAAACACATTGATTGGAAGGCTGTTCCAAGATTAAGGGACAGCAATGTAGAAGTTGCCAAGAGTTGAGTGGGTGAATGATTCTAAGGAGCAGCTGGGATAGACCTGGGAGAATCAAAGAAAACAGGCCCATGTGTAGGTGGAGAAAAATACAAGAGATGCAAGACAGGGTTGTATGTGGCTCTAAAAGTAATAATAATTTTTTTGAAGTATTGAACAAAAAAGGAAGTAAGTGTGAAATTCATGGATTTAAAGAAAATGTTGGGACAACCCATTAAGTGGAGTTTCCAAGTCTGAAGATTAGTTGGGTATTTGTGCATGGGAAAGAGTACTACCTACAGACCTGAAGAATTTAGTAGAGAAGGGGACAATCAGCAACTGAAACTGGGCCCTAAACAATACCTTATGTAGAGGATGCATTTTTTTTTTTTTTTTTTTTTTTTTTTTTTGAGATGGAGTCTTGCTCTGTCATTCAGGCTGAAGTGCAGTGGCATGATCCTGGCTCACTGCAACCTCCACCTCTTGAGTTCAAGCAATTCGCCTGCCTTAGCCTCCCAAGTAGCTGGGACTACAGGCGCATACAACCACACTTGGCTAACTTTTTGTATTTTTAGTAGAGATGGGGTTTCACCGTGTTGGCCAGGATAGTCTCAATCTCCTGACCTCGTGATCCGCCTGCCTCAGCCTCCCAAAGTGCTGGGATTACAGGCATGAGCCACCGCACCCGGCTGAGAATGCATTGTTTAAAGCCATCATAATTTTACTTTGTGTCAATAGATAGGAAAACATTTACTAGCTAATTTCTTTTTTAAGCTTGATGTCACTTAGGAAAATCCATATTCTGATACACAAGGCAGAAACAGATAAAAAGTCATTTAATGCTGACCTACCACTTCATGTGTAGTAAAAGTTGGATGGAGAGAAGGTTTCTCCTTTCCTTTACTTTCTTCTCTTCAAAATCTGACAAAGGTCAGGCATCTAGGCAAGTTCAACATGTATAAACGGGGTAAGTTGAACTGGCTTTTCAGCAAAGCTATCAGAAGGATGGAAGATTAGCTGCCAGTTCCCAACTGGTCTTTTTGTAGTACTTTCCACAGTGGTGAGAAACTGTCAGGAGTAGATTTGATTAGCTAGAATCATAGCAGCATAAACTATTAGGGCTGAAAAAAAATCTGTAAGGGATCATTCCGCTCAAGAATTTTAATTTTACAGTTATGGAGAGAAGCAATGTAAAAGATTTGTCAAATGTATATTATTTTCAGGGAGTACCAGGACCCATTTTTCTTCCCACTCTTAACCTAGTTTTCTTTTGTCAGGTTTATTCTTTCTGAGAAGAAAATAAAGCCATAGTAGGGGGTGTGGCCAATGCACAATTGAAGGGAATCCTTAAAATATATTTTGATCACTGTATAATGTATACATGTACTGAAACATCACATTGTGCCCCATAAATATGTACAATTATTGTGTATTAACTAAAAATAAAACTTTAAAAGAATTTTTTTTTGTTTTAAATCTCATGTGTTTTGAGCCTGGGAGATCTCAGACTGTATGGAGATTTCCTCTTAATGGTAGCAGCTGTTTACTTTCTTGTTCTTCCTTCTGCCCTTTTTCTCCTACGCTAACTGATGATGGTGAATCTGAATGGAAAACAGGCCGCGTGATACCTGGGTTCCAAGTATCTTCTAGAGTATTTCCTAGGTCAATTCAATACTGAATGATCAGACCAGACCATATTCTGTCCTAGTTGTACTCTGCTGAAATCCTCACAATAGTATACCAGGAAGACCTAAGTTGGGATTCAAAGTTTTAGGAAAATTTCAATTCACATTAATTCATTCTGCACAACCTGATTGGCCCTGAAAGAATCAGATCATAAGGAAAATTAATATTATTTACGATCAAGTTGCTTGTGACCAAGAACATATATGATGATGGGAACAATTCTAAAATAAAAAAAGGCAAGATAATGCAAATGAGTGAGGTAGATACTGTGAGGATAAGTACCAGGAGGATTCAGAGCAAGAGAAAAAGTATGGTGAACCTGAGGCGGCTCAAGAAGTCTTCCTAAGCAAAGGTTATCTCTGAGTTAGCCTGGTCTTCAGGGCATTACCAGTAAAAGCTGTGACTTTTCATTAGAATCAAGATTCAGAGACAACTGACATTCACCGTATGTCTGTCTTCCCACTCGCTAATCTCTTCTCGTCCTGACTTGAATCAGAACTGGTCTGCCCATGGGGAACTTCAGATGATACGTATACAGCTGAACTTTTCCTTCCGCTTTGGAGTTTCATAACTCTCTATCTAGGGAGAAATAATGCCAGTCCAGGAGGAGAAGCTTCCTGGCCATAGGCTATTTCAGACCTGGAATGCTGTGTGCACTTAATAAATATCAAAGAAAAATAAGTGATGATGCCCAGGAGAAAGGTTTCCTCTTTGTTTCCCTATACTTTTGAAGAAACCAGTATTTTTCATTTTTCTAGTATCCACTGGTGTAAATATTCCCTCTGACGTCCCATGATAATTAAACTAAGTAAAGTCTGTAAAAGTCTTGACAGATTATCAGAGATTGTCAATGTCTAACCACAATTTGTTATTTCTCACTTGACACTCCAATATTATGAGAAGACTATTCTTATTTCCAAATTAAAATCATGATAAGCATTTAAAGATAAATCAATACAATGGGGAAGTATCAGAGCAACAACAAATTAATTTAACAAGATGATATTTGGTGCCTACTGTATAGTAGACATTGTATGCTAGTGATAAGGATTTCTGATCTTTCTTGTAAGGTCTTCATTCCTTTACTTCATTCATAAATAGAGTAATAGGTCTTTCTTACAACTTCCTTTTAAACTAGTTCTCCTAGTTCTGGTCGGAGATTGAGCAACTCTCTCTGCTCTACTCTGGGCCTTGCAGAATCCCTCTTCAGAAACTACCTCAAGCCCAGTCCTGGTTGGTCAGACTAAATAACTTCTCTGTCCTGTAACAGTCTTCTCTGGAATTCATAGGATTCTACACTAAAGACCCATCTTAAATCATTCCTACTGTATGCATCTATGGCCCCAGATCTTAGAATCTCTGAAACTACTCCTGGCAAAAGTCCCTCTGATCAGTTGACTTACACTGAAGCATATTTGCTAGTTGATTGATAAGGCCAAGAAGGCTGGTTCTACAATTAGTTTAAGCACCTTGCATTTAAAACTATTAGGATGGTGCAAAAGCAGTTGCAGTTTTTGCCATTGAAAGTAATGGCAAAAACCACAATTACTTTTCCACCAACCTAATAGTATCTGGAGCTAGTTTCTTCTGATGTGCATTACTCTCTTGGATGCCATTCTATATCACTCTAGCTCCTTTTCATAGCCAAAAGCAGATTGTGTGTGTGTGTGTGTGTGTGTGTGTGTGTGTGTGTGTGTGTGTGTGTGTTTAAAAGCCTGAGTCCCCTTTAGACTTCTCACTAAATTCCAATTTCTACTTGTCAGTTTATTCGCAAAACTAACAAGATTGGCATGCCGTAAGCCCAGTAAAAAATCACATTGTTTCCCCAGGTACTCTTTGGTAATTCATCCTTTAAGAGTTTCTTCCTCCCTCTTCTGCCACCCATTCCTTTGTTCACAATATAAGATGAAACCACCCAGAAGACTGTCGTGATGAGACTACTACTTCATTTATGAATTAACAATAGCATTTCACTGACACAGAGAAGGCAATTTTTTTTTCCTCATAAGTATATGAAACTTTGTCTTGTTCTCTAGGCTTTTGAATGTCCATAATGTCTCTCTTCAACCTGAACTCTTTGGGCTTATCCATGTTCCATTCATTCATTCTGCATTGGATAGGCATTTATTATGTCCCTGATATTATGCTGGGTGCTGGGAATATAGAGTAAGACTTATCTATGAAAGCACACTATCCAGTGGGTTAAATAGAGACAAATAAATCATCACTATATAGAATATTGCTGCTATGATAGAGGAAGTACAGATCTGGTAGTGGCCCACATGAGAGAATGATTGATTCTGGCTGTATTCTTTAGAGGGCCTAATGTAATACCTTATGCTTATTAGGCTTACAAGAAATATTTATTGGTGATGATAATATGGCATAAGTAGAAATTCAGAGAAGACAGGAGGTAGAAAATAGCCTTTCTTAGAATTGAGATAGACATCAGGCTTTGTTATGGTAACAGTACTGCACTATAACGGGTGGCTTTTATTATTAATACTAACAATCACTTATTGTAGTTATAAATTGCTATCATTTATTGAGTGCACATTATGTATTGGGCACGTGCTGTCTTCTTTGCACAAGGCACATTATTCAATCCTCACACAATCCCTAGTGGCTAGGTATTTTTCCCACTTTATGGATGAGAAAACAGAGGCTCAGTCAGATAGTAAGTGGCTGAGCCAGAATTATAACCTCTCTGACTCTTAAATTTCTTCACTTAACCACTCTACTATTATTATCAATCTAAATCTCAAGATCAGATACAAATATATAAAAAAGAATTGAAAACAACTGTTTATTTGAAACAGTTGCGTCAAAACCTTAGGACCATTTTGACAGTTAAGATAGTCATGATATGTTATATAGTATAATCAGCAGAGTTAAGATAGATTCTCTTGGGAAAAAAAATACACACACACACGCACACACACACACACACACATATGTGGTCATTTCTCAGCAATGTGGTAAGCTAAACACTTGAGTAGATTTGCACACAGTACCCAAACTTCTCTAGGCTCGCTGAGTTTCACAATGGTAAGGTTATAAAGCATAAAACCAATGTCTAAGATTAAAAAGAGTAGTCAAGTTCTTAATGAAAAGTAAAAAATATATATTCTTGGAAATATTCTTAGAGACATTTCATCAGCCAAGCTTTATACTTCATGTTAAATAAAGATCTTTCTCATATTGGATATTATCCTAGCCATTTCTATTTCCATGTTTTTTCTTTAAGGTTTTTATAAATCTGTGATCAGGATTGTTATAATAAAACTTGTTACTACTATTTACTGGGAACATAATCTTATTTCTCAAAGGGTTAGGCTATAAAGAAGGATTAGTGTCACTAAACACAATATGGTAGAACTGGGTGTTTAAAATGAGATACAAATGTTTTAGGGACTTAAAATAAAGCATGTATTTAATAAAGAATTAAGCAAGTCTTGTATTCTGTTTATTGTTTAGTTACACTGTTTGTGGAGATTTCCTCCTTTTTTACACCCTTCTATTTTTTTCTAAATTGCACGTTAATATTAGATTGCTTTGGTACGTATTGCCTTAATCAGAAAAGCATATGAACTAAAGCCAGCTGTGGGACTGCAGAGCCTCTCAAAGATGCTATAAAGGGGACATAAACAAGACATTAGACCTCTTATTCTCTCTCTCTCCCTCTCTCTCTTTTATTGCCTAGCTCAGTGGTCTGTTTTATAGCCATGGTGCTCTGCCTAGCAGTCAATACTCTACCTGCAAGCGAGACTGATTCTCAGGGAGGTAGAAAATGTTCGACTGTGGAGTTGTACACAATAGAGTTTGTCTGTTTCACTGTTATTATTCCCTGTCAGTCTCTTTAATGTTCATTTCCATCCCCTTTTTTTCCAGCCTTTCTCTGCAACCATTCTTAGGAAAATATATGTGTGTCAGGGATACAAAGTGAGTATACTGACTGATAGGGCTTTGACCTGGGTCACTCAATGTGTGAAACAAAGAGTCAGTTGGTCAGTTTTGAATGTCATGGGGATAGTCCAGTCTCTGTTCATCTCTTTTATCTTCTTCCTCTGAATAATGCCTTTCTCTCTCTTTCTTTTCCAGTCTTTTTTTTTCTTTCTATCCCTCTCCTCTGTTCAAACATATTGTAGCATGGACATTTCTTCATTAAACAAATGTTTTTTGAATGCCTGCTGCATGACAGATACTCTTCTAAGGGCTGGGACTACACCCATGACCAAGGCAAGGTCCATAATCTCTCTGGAAAATCTAAGAATGTTTACATTAAACAAATGATTCCACAAATTATTTCAAAATTATGTAAGTGAGAGAAAAGTCCGGCAACCCATATGTGTGTGAAGTCAGATTGCTTTATCTGAACATAACTTAGTCTAGCTAAGGGTCAGGAAGAGTTTCCCTCTTAAAGTTACCTGTTTGATGTTGAATTCCTTCCATAAATTTCAAATTTATAATCACTTTTCAGAATAAACTGCATTATCTTGTTTCTCAAATTAGGAATGAGCCATCTGCATTTATTGCTGTATATTTCTCCCTCTTACTGTTTACATATTATTAATACTCCTAAATGATTACAAAAAGCCCCCAATTTAATACAGTTCAACTTAGGATTTTTCAACTTTACGGTGGTGCAACTGTGGGTAGAAAGCAGTTCATAGGCTCTCAAGATGCTGGACAGCAGCTGGTAGCTACAGCTCCCAGTAAACCACCTAATCACGAGGGTAAGCAACCGAAATTCTACAGAGTACTGTGCTGCTAGATGATTTTGCCCAACTGTAAGCTCATATCACTGAGCACATTTGAAGCTAGGCTAAGCTATTGTGTTCCATAGATCAAGTGCATTGAATGCATTTTCTGCTTATTTTCAACTTACGATGAGTTTATCAGGAGATAACCCCATCTTAAGTTGAAGACTATCTGAATAGTCAATGAATATCAGCATCTACTTATTGTAAATTCTCATGGAGTTGCTATGTAAACATGTATGCCTATGAAAATCACCCCAAAAAATGAAAGGTCAGTTATTAGACCATGTCTCCATTGATTTAGGTATCAAACTTATTGACTAATGCATATTTCCATGGCTGATCTAGCTTACCATATACTGACTAACCTATTGAATGTGATTCTCTTCTTCTTTGTGCCTGCTTTGTCTAGCCTGGTTTTAGTTTACTGAGATGAAGATTCCATGATTCTTGGCAGATGCCTAGAGTCAGAGAGCTAGATGATATTGTCATTGAACTTGGACAGTTCTTTTAAAAAGTCCTGATTACTGCTGGCTCTTCCCTTTCTCCTATGGAGCAACTATAGCTTATAGAACTGCAATTCCCCTCCTTCCCACTTTCCATTGCCTTTGTTTGGAATTAATGAAAATATTCGGATTCAACCACTCAGCTCCTTACTCACAATTTTGCCCTTCTAAAATGTGGATGACTTTTCTTGTTTTTCTTTTCTTCACCATTTATTGACTTACAAATTTCATAAGTACGTAGTGACAGTGAAATATATGAGCAAATGGCAGAACACAAACTGGACTGGTGAGAACAAGGTAGGAACTGAGATCTGAGGTTATTGTCTGCCATTAACTCACTTTTCTTTTGAAACCATTCAGCGTTTAGTATGTGGGCACTTTGGAGATCAACTAGTCCCAACTTTAATTTTAAGAATGTGAGAACATAATAAAAAAGACATGGAATCAATCAAAATGCCCATCAATGATAGATTAAATAAAGAACATGTGGCACATATACATCATGGAATACTATGCAGCCATAAAAAGGAATGATGAGATCATGCCCTTTGCAGAGACATGGATGGAGCTGGAAGCCATTATCCTCAGCACAGTAACACAGGAACAGAAAACCAAACACTGCATGTTCTCACTTATAAGTGGGAGCTAAACAATGAGAACACATGGCCACAGGGAGGAGAATAACACACACTGGGGCCTGTTAGGGGGATTGGAAGGAGGGAGAGCATCACGATAAATAGCTAATGTGTGGGAGGCTTAATACCTAGGTGATGGGTTGATAGGTGCAGCAAACCACCATCGCACATGTTTGCCTTCATAACAAACCTGCACATCCTTCACATGTATCTTGGATCTTAAATTAATTTTTTAAAAGAAAAAAATGGGAGAAAGATTTGGATAATCAGTTTGTAGAGAAAAATAAAAATGGTCAATAATGACGTGAAAAGATGTTCAATCTCACTAATAATAAAGGAAATCCCTTACTCATTTAAAAAAAAAAAGAAAAGAAAAGAAAAAGAAAGAAAGAAAAAGAATTTGGGAACAGAAGCGCAGAGCGGTGATGTGACTTGTTGAGTCTCACACAAAGAACCGGTTCCTCTTTCTAAGACTAACCTGCCTTATCTATAAATCAAGGGGATTGGAATGGTTGTTAAGTTATTGTTAAGAGTTTCTTCAACTCTAAATCTGTGATTCTTTATCCTAGCTCTGACTCTACAGAGCCTAAGGGAACAAAGCTCTGCCTAATGACATGATCAGTCATCCGCCACAGAGAAAATTATCTCTATGTCTACACTTCATGTTTTTATTAATGTTTCCCTTGCAAGTATCCACATTTTAATCATTCTTAATTAATTGAAATTTGTGGGAAAAATATATTTGCTCATACCTTTCTGAGCAACACAAGATAGAAAAACATGTTTTGACTCCAATATCAAGTTGTTACAAAAAGTACAGCATCAAAACCCAGTACACCCACAATTTCTCAATGTTTGAGTATATCCATGAACAGAACCTGGGTAGTTTAAATACATTGCGGAGTTTAAGGGATATGTTTTGGGAGGTTTGCTATAATTTCCCTCTCTTTTTTTTTTTTTTCATTTTGCTTCAAAATTTGGCAGAGCAGTAAGCCAATAGAACACAAATGGAGACAAATAATTTTGTTCACAACCCAAATCACTGTTTTATGTTTTCATAAAAATTGATTTTCTCTCTTTCAGACTTACATGGTAGGAAATACTTGTACTGTGTCTAAGTCCTTTATACTGTTTTCTAGGTTTTTTAGAAGCTTCAATTGCAATTTGTGTATGTGTTTTCTTCAGGAATTAATGAAATAATAAAAATGATGATCCTTTCACCATTTCCTTTACTCTCCCCTTCAGCAATATAGTCAATATGTGTGTGTGTGTGTGTGTGTGTATATATATATGTATTTATGTGCAGGAGTTCTAAATGAGTCAGGGTCCAAGTAGAGAATATTTTGTCCTCCAGAGCTAAGACTATATCGTTCTATTTTAAGGGCTTATTGGCTTATTTCTTTATTATTATCTGTGAAGGGGTTGTATTTATTTCTTATTTCGGAGCCTAAAATTGTTTTTTCCAAAAACTTTATTTAAAATGTTTTAGTTTGTACCCTTAGATCAACCTTTCCTCTTGTATCATAGAGCCCTCTTTATGAATTTTGTTTTCTGACTTTTTATTATGATAAAAAATTATATCATATCGCATTATTACTTGGCTATTTTGACACTTACATGCATTTGAGTTCTATAGGCTTCAGTTTGACTATTGCTATTGCAATAGTAATAGTCTTTCAATTTACTACATTTTCTATAAGCAAGCTTACTTTCACATACAAAGATATTTTAAAAGATTATTCTGTTTCCTAATTTTTTTCTATAGTTTCAAATCAGTTGATATGCCATCCAACCTAAAGAGGTAGTATAAAATTTAGTGATTAAGAGCTTCAGAATTAAACAGACTAGCTTTCAAATTTTAACTCAGAGGCATGCTAGCCGTGTAATCTTTGGCAAGTTACACTCTCTAAGAATCAGCTTCTTCATCTATACAATTGTGAAAATAATAGCTAGTTATTAAAATAAAATGTAATTCTAAAATCAAATGAAATAATGTTGGGAAGTATTTGGCTGGTATTTGGCACAAAGTAAGAGTTAGGTAAATTACTATCATTGTTTTTATTATAAACCCAGTAAGCTAAGCCTGGTATGAATAATTGTCTTTAGCTACATCAATTATTCAAGAGAAAGCATGCAACTTTCCTCTTAAAAGCAATGTTAAACTAAGGTATATTAAAAGATGTTTAGAATGGCATCCAATATATCATGAATGCAAGTGTATATATAGAAAATATATCTATAGTTACTTTCACTAAGATATAAACAAATTTTTATGCCCACAAAATTGCACTTATTTTTAGGGCACTGGTGTCAACAGCCACCTCTTCAAAGAAATTATTTCTTTTGATCCATTTAGTAACTTGATCCCAGCTGCATAAAAATAGACTTGCAGCATTTCATTTTTCTACAGACTGCTGATGGCTGCATTCCATAACTTAAGAAATCTGTCAAAAGGAAGGCTGTGAAACTCAAAAGCTTTTACAGAAACCTGTTGCAGTTGCAAGCATTCAAACTGGAATTATTTGAAATCCACAAAATATGGATTTGAAAATATAACTTTAAAATATTGTGTAGGATTCTTAATTCTATATTAGATATTAACTGTTAAAAATTTCATCACATAAAGATCACCATGCAATCACTAATTACATAGTTTTATGGTGATTTTAATATTTTCTTTTTGATCAAATAAGGTAAGTCACTTAAATAAATAGAAAATGTGCCCAGGAGTGCTATGTGTTTATGAGTGCTGTGGTTGATAATAGTAACTTCAGTGGAAGCTCTTAGTTACAGCAGTGAACATCTTGACCACTTGGCAAAAACTTTCCAACTCTTCCACTTATGTCTATGAGTTTATTTATGATGGTTGATAGTTCTGTGTGAGATTTTGGTGCTTTATTATTTAATTATAATCTCAGATTTTATCAGTCACACACAAGTAAGAGAACAGGCAAGTAAAAGGAAGCCAAATGAAATCATCACCCAATTTTATTTATTTATTTATTTATTTATTTATTTATTTATTTATTTATTTTCTTGAGACAGAGTCTCACTCTGTCCTCCATGCTGGAGCACAATAGCATGCTCACTACAGCCTTGAACTTCTGGACTCAAGCAATCATCCTGCCTCAGCCTCCGGAGTAGCTGGGACTACAGGTGTGCCCCCACTACAGCCGGCTATTTTTTTTTCTTCTTTTTGAAATAGAGACGAGGTCTTGCTATATTGCCCAGGCTAGTCCTGAGATGAAGTGATCCTCCCCACCTCGGCCTCCCAAAATGCTGAGATTACAAGTGTGAGCCCACACCCAGCCTCCATCGTGCAATTCTAACTACCATTTTATGTGTAACCCTAACCCTTTCAATCTCTACCTTCCAACTGCATCATTTTGAAGCAAATCTGGAGCTTTTCCTTATCTACCTGCAAATATTTTAATGATAACGTTTAAAATACAAGAACTCAAAAGCAAATAATAATCACAAATAACTTTGGGGCTAATTTGATGATATTAAAGCCAAGACCTGCAAATGATTTTAATACCATCCTCAGTAACCCCTACTCCCCAGGATTCTCAGAAAACAATACAGAATATGTGACTAGTCTGTCTGTCTTTCTTTCTCTTTCTTTCTTTCTTTCTTTCCTTCTTTCTTTTCTTTCTTTCTTTCTTTCTTTCTTTCTTTCTTTCTTTCTTTCTTTCTTTCTTTTCTTTCTCTCTCTCTCTTTCTTTCTCTCTCTCTTTCTTTCTTTCCAAATTCAGGGCTCTCTATAAAAATTGAATTAAATCACCCAATATGACCTTGAAATTTAAGAGAGATTTCTTTGCAAATTTGAATTTTTGTCACTCTTGTTCTTATATCTTCCTGCAAGTGAGAGTATGGGAGCTAGGGAGCAGAAGAGTTCAATTAGAGATCCAGCTGCCGGGAGTGGAAGAGGAATATCAACAACAATTTTTATCCTGATCTCACAGTCTCAGAGTCTTCTACCTCAATCTGAGGCAAAATAATAATAATAATAATAATAATAATAATAATAATAAAAAATAAAATAAAATAAATCTGATATGGACATCCTGGTCTTTAGGTAAAACAGTCAATGCCCTAATCTAAGTAATTATATTAACTCCTCCTTGGGGTGTGGTTTGGCTCACAGGGAACCAGGCAGAGGAGGCTCTCATAGAGGAGAATGAGATCATATTACCCAAGAGTCTACACTCATACTTGTTGAGATGTTAAAACACAGAGTAAAGTAGAGATTTGCAGAAAATTGGTTAATTAGATCAACATGGTATAGCAATGCTCAATGTCTTTTATAAGGAACAATGGTGTTGTGGAGTGCTAATGGATGTCATTAAAAAGAGGGGTTCTTGGAGACTAAAATATGTCATTTGCAGTGGGAGTCCCAAGAAGCAGGTATGGTAAGGTGTGTTTTTGAAGTGTATTCAGTTGTTGGCCTTTTATCTTTTCTGAGCATTTGGTAGGATCAATGTTGCTTCTAACAGTCTTTGGGGAGTGCTGGTATAAATAATCAATATAGAAATGAGGATTGAATTTTTCATGTAGTCCATTTACTTTGTTTAAATTATTTGCATAATTGTTGCTACATCACTAAAGTTTGCGATATGAGTGAGTATTGCAAAATAAAAGGTTTTTTGGAACTTTGTAATCAAGTAAATCTGGTGAGCATTTTTCTGACATTTGAAATAGAAAAACTTTATACTCTAAGTCATCTTTGCTGTACTCATTTTATAAATCTGAGGTTTTTTGTTCTTTGTTTCTGACTCAACCTCTGGGCAAAGTACTGGATTATTCATCTAAATAAAAGTGCTTAATGTTTCTCTTTTGGAAATTGCCAGTGTTTATTTAGGTGAACCTCATGACTATTAAAGTTTGAAATGTGATTATCTAGAGTTGGGTCTGAATGGCCAGCTGCATATTATTTACTTTGTTGCATTTCAGGTGGAAAACCTATATAAAAATCATTAGGCTCTGATCTTCCCAGTTAGACCGTAAAATACCATGATTTCCCCAGCAAAAAGAGAGAACACATCCACCAGAAGGAGATAGTCATCAACAAGTCAGATCACAAGTAGAACATTGTTTTTAAGTTTTTTGTTATATGGATTTTAGAGAATACTGACAAACTGAAATGTGTTTCTTCCAGCTCTAAGTTTGAGTCTAGAGTGGTGACTAGAATACTGAGGGATCTTGGCTCTTATGACCGAAGAAGAAATGTAACAGGAATTTACTTCAAATGTATGAAAGACATTGGAGTAAGCAACAGTGATTTTGTTTCTCATGGCTGCAAAGGGTAGTACTTAGACCAATGTGAGAAGGTATAGGAAAGAAATAATATGATTCAGCTATATGAATACCTTTTTAATTCAAGCTTTGAACCATGATAACATGAGAGGTGGTTGGTTATCAATTATCTTAAGATACAAGGTAGAGTTTGCATGCTATCCATCAGAGTTATTATTTAAGGAATCCATTTATTGGCTGTAAGCTTGGATTACATGACCTTTAATATTTTACTATATTTTATAAATATAAAAATATCTTATAAATTGCAACAGTAACTGTCCCAGCTATGTTGAGGGACATTTTGAGGGTCTGATAAAATTGTGGATCCACTTTCCATAAAAATGCACAGATGAAAAAAATGCACAGCTGTGCACACACAATTTGCATAAAATTTTGAAGGTTCATCCTTCCCTTGAAACTTATTCGTAGATCCCAGGATAAAAATCTGGTCTATAATTTAATTAACCTTGCAACTCTGAATAAATCACTTAACTCAACTGACCACATAATCCCCATAATTAAGGTGTAGTGATTAGACAATCTTTAATGTATATAGGTCTTTCTGTTCCTAAAAATAAAATATTTGATTTTTTGTTAGAAATTCTTGAGTACAAGGCATATTCTCAGGATAATCAAATGGAAATGGAGAGCAAGGGTTTTCTCAACATTGATAGTATTGAAGCCTAAAGAAGAGAGGCAATAAAGCCTCATTTCCCTGTTGCTTTGGGTGTAAGCAACATGTTCTTAAGTCTCAATTTCCACCTTTGACTTTTGGCTATTGGTAATAATCAAATGAAAGCACAGAAGGTTTGTGTGGGAGTTAGACCTCAGTGGAAGTTAAAGAATGCCCTTTGTAATAAAAGACAATTGGGCACCAGGGTGAGTCCATTTTACAGCTCATTAACACTGCCCTCAATCGACAAAGATCATTGCTAAGTTTATCCACTTGAAGTAATTATACTTACATATATATATACAATCATGCATGTGCATGTTGACATGGAAATGATTTCCTTTGATTGAATTTGAGGAGGAAAAATAGGTACCGGCAGTTCCTTAGTATCTCAGATACTAAGGACATATTTGTTGTATGCCAGTCATTTGTGACCTGTCTTCAGTTCACACAAGACTGTCTTTAGTAATCTCAAAAATATCATAGGAGGGTAATTTTCAGTCTTAGCAAGAGCAGAGCAAAGGAATTAAGTAGAAAGGATTAGGAAGAGACTTCATTAGCACTTTTGAATTCGTGTTCGCTAAAGCAAAGGAGTTTTCTGAATAACACCTCCCTTGTATGCCTCCCAACCATAAATTCATCTTCTTTTTCTGTTCCTCTTCCACCACCTTTCCCTTTCTACTCCTTAACATAAACAATTATTTATGGTACATTCTAGGAAGTACTTAGTGCTATAGAAAAAAATTTAGAAGGAGATACAGAGAACTGTCTGCAAAGGACATGAACCCTCAAGGTATTTACTAGCTAGTGGCAGAGAGAGGACACCTTGAGCAAATCAACATCTCTTTGTTTTTTTTATAGATACATACAGACATGCCAGAAAGCATCATTCTAACAGCAGCACCAGACATTTACGAGCACCTGTTCTGTGGTAGGCCTTAGGCTAGCAAACATTTGTGAGCATCGGTGTTGCTTAGTTTCTTGTTAAGAATGCAGATTCCTAAGCACATCCTACAAATTCACTAAGTCCAGGGTGATGTACAATATTAAACCATGGCTTTATGGGAAAATGTTGTAAGTGGCTGGCAGGCTGCATTTTGGGAAGAAGAAAAACACCTGCTGACAAAATGGAGACTCAAAACAACATCAAACATGTACCCTGCCCTAATGTATTTGCAATATAGTTGGAGGGACAATGTACATGCAGAGATAGAATAACAATACATGGGAACTAAAATCATGCCAACAAAATTGCAGAGAAAACAACTGAAGAGAGTATAGGAGTAGATAATGGAGTCTCAATGAAAAGAGGTAGAAATTGAGGTCAGCTTTCAATAAATAGAGTAAATTTCTTTTATGAAGAGATACATTTACCTTTGCGATTAGCCATGGCCATTATTCATTTTATATTTTCCTTTTGGCCTTTCTTCTACATTCTCTAATTTGCTTAGTTCACACTACAGTCTCCTCCCAATGGTGATGTAGTGGTTCTCTACCACTGTCCTCCAGCCCTACACTGGGAGATTAACATCTTGACCAGTCTCCGTACATTCAGAAAGCATCAGAGTTCACAGAAATGGGTAGAAGAGACACTGATCATTACTTCGATTAGCCACTCTTCCTGGAGCTGTAGGTCAGAAGTTATTTCAGCATCACTTACTATAAAGATGCCCGTTAGCTTCAGATATGTAGGTGTTTCAGACAACAGGGAATATTATGGAGGGAAATTATAGTCAGAAATCAAAAAGAACATCACAAACTGGCTACTTTTCCAGATTGAAAGCACATAAGGTAGCTGTCCATCGATTCTACCAGAATATAGAAGACAAGTAACACCATCACATTATAAATTATTTGGGCCTATTTATTTGGAAATATAGGATTTGTTAACTTCCTGTAAGATCAATCCATGTGATTTGGCATGGAAGAATAAGAATTATTGCTGAGAAAACTCTTTATACTTATGATCAAACAGAGTACACTTAATAAGCTTAATCTGAAACTGATAGTTTGGTAGATACAGTGTTAAGTGTGGAAGTGTTTAATAAAAAATATATAGGCTATATATAATACACATTAAGTAAATGTATTCATTCGGGTTTTTTGGTTTATTTTAAATGTCCTTTTATAGACCCTTGTCTGCAGTTGCTGTGATTTTTCTCACCACTCACCTCTTTCTCTGAGCTAGACATATGAATGAAAATATATAGGATTATAGCCATAAGTCTATTTTCTTATTAGTGGTTACCTGACTCCCTGGGAAGGTACTTGGCGATGAGTTATTTGCCTAGTCAGGGTACACCCAAATGTATCACAATGTCGATGTTTTGCTCCTTCCCTTCCACTCTTACATGTGAATTTACTCTGTTTTCTTGGCTGACAATTAAACCTAAAGCCATCTTGTTATTTATTACAAATGCTATAATTTCTTTATCTAAAGAAATGTTCAGAGGCAAGATCTTAGGCAGGGGAAAAACCAAAAACTCCCTGTGGGAATGTAGGTTAGTTCCAAACCCCCACTCGTTTGCTTTCTGGAAACTCCACTTCATGTATGTTGAGTATCATCAATATGTGCTTCCTTATTAACCTATTTCTACCTGTTGGCCTTTCCTATAGTTTCAAGGCCAATAAAAAATTAGCCTACTTCTCTTCTATATGAAAATCCTTAAAGATTTGAGCATGTCTATTCTATCTCCTTTACTCTCTGTTACTTTAGACTGAATATGGCTCTTATAACCATCTGGTCACTCACCTGTTTTTCAAAGTATCTTTTAAAATGAGCACATGGCATGTCCAACATACCTCATGTGTGTGTCTTATGCAAAGTTCAGAAAAATGATTATTACTCTCATGATCTGGATACTAGAATTCAATTCATACAAACATTTCTGCTAAAAGGTCCATCAAATTTGCCTGTTACATTTTTGTTTAGTAAAAATCCCCAGGTTTTTTGTAATAACAACTATAGAATTAGGTCTTCCTCATACTGTGCTTATGCTATTTTCTCAATTCTTCATACAGGATTTTTTTTTCATTTATGCTTGTTAATGTTTCTTGCTCTAAAGAATTTGGGAGTCTCATAAGGAGGATATCCCACCAGTTGAAAATGTGTTTCATGAGCTCTACCATAATTTAAACAATCTTCTGTCCTGTATGGGTCCTCTGGAATCTTCCTAGGTAAATTTTGATTTCATTTGCATGAACAACATGTGCACAAAAGAAAGAACAAGCTAGATTTAAGTATTTATCAGGACCTTTGAGGACTCTAGGAAGCAATGACAAAGACAGTCTTTGCTAAGTGGTGTAACTATTGATCTTATGCCACAGTGGTTTTCTAGCTGCCCAAATCAAGAACTTGTTGCTTGTATACATTTAATCACGGTGTGGTGCCCAAGAATTAGGGCAGTTGAAACTGTTTAGATAGACAGGTAATTGTATGTGTACATCAAACTTAATACTGGCCTTGCAGAATGACAGAATATTAAACGCAAGGGAAATTTTGGATCAATATTTGTTTCTTAAAAACTTCATAAACAGCATTTGCCAAATAGGTGGTAAGCACCTGGCCAATAAGCATGTCTAAGTTGTGCACATTGTTGCTTTGGAACTGGCTAAGTATGAAAATACATTAACTGAGGCAAGAATACTCATTCAGCTCCAGTTAGATTCCATTTGCAGGGCCATTTCTGCATGTCAGAAGGTAGATATGCTTTCATGGACTTCAAGAGAGGATGGGGATCTGCCCAGCTCAGGATGAGGAGGCAGTAAGCCCAAAGACTTGTTTCCTCAATTTAGAACCAAACCCCCCAATCATTTATTTCTGAATGAGTCCAGGGCTTGGTACAGATCCTGTTGCAGAGTAAGTGCTCAATAAATATTTGCTAGATAAATAAATAATTTGATATATTGATAATTAAGTGGATGAAAGAATGTATGGCAGGCTGCACTTACTCACATGTAGTTGTATTACCTGGGAAGATGTGTTTCTTACTAATAAGCCCACATCAGATACCTCCTGGTTGAAAGTGTGTCTTCATTAAGCTCTAATTCTCTTCTACAGGAAATGGATATCTTTTCCTTTTTTATGGCATGTTTAAGAAGGGGACTATAGGTGCATTTCTTTAGTTCCATAGTATTATTTACTCAACGACATTTTCTTCTGTTCAAGAGACGAGGATAGCCTTATTCTCCTTGAGTTATTATTTCTAATGGGCTCCTGTATTAAAGAAAGTACCTTAACTTTCCTAAAATGCATCTGGAGAAACCCAAAGCAAATAATATGTTCCCTACTTTCCTTAAGGATAAATGTCTCTCCCAGACGCCTGGAGGCCTCAGCTGGCGTACTCACCCATCTAAGTAATCATCCTTTCAAGAAAATAGTTATATCCATTAGGCGTGTATTTAGCTTCCAAAACCTGAAGACCTGACTTATATAGGATTAAACTGATAATTTAGTTTTCAAATTGAATAAGAAGTCCAAAGGTAGGTGACACAGGGCTGGTATAACTCCTGCAGGGAGACCTCAAACATTTAAGCTCCTTCTGTCTTCTTTCTTCTCCATCCTTAGTGTGTGATTTTTGACCTCATGATCTCAGAATTGGTATTGTCGTGGGCATTCACTCTGCATTGAGAGCAACAGGAATAAGGTTTTATGGCAAAAAATAGTGGGGTGGGGGAGACAGTCTACCAAAACCTACCTTTAAGAAAATATTGTCCTAATTATGTAAATTCAATTTACATTTTTTCAAGATTAACTGGGTCACAAGGGCACTCTCACTCTAAGGATGTTTTGGAAAGCAAGTATTTTTAGTGGGACATATTGCTACTCTGTGCACTTCCCCCTCATCCTTTCAAATGGTTCTACTTGCCAGGAAGAAGGCAGAATGGATATTGAATACTAAACTAGAATTACTCTGTCACAACAGCCTGTCTAAGTTGATAGCCCCATCTAGTGAGCCAAGGACAGGGCTACTCCAAAAATATTACGACTGAACAGTCACTGATTTTTAAGATGAATCTTGGTGTTTCTATATAGATACTACCTAGTAATTCATAGGAGACTATTGAATTATTTAGTCCTGGATCTGAGTCTTATTACAAATTATTTCATTTTTATATATTTTTTAATCTGGGAAATCTCAACATACGTTGCATTCTCTAACCTGTCAGCAAATCCAACTCTGGATGTAAAAAAAAAAAAAAAAAGTGTCCAGCCGAGAAAACCCAGTGGATTCAAACTTTATTTACCCAACTAACCTATTCTTATTATCTGCTATTGGATTAAGGAATTTATGTTGGGTGAAAGTAACATTCATCCCTCCAAATTTCAGCCATACTAAATGACTTCAACCTACTTCTAAGGTTATTTTATTGTAATGGACAAATTATATTCCACTTGGCTACAGACCTGCAGTCGTCTAATTTGGCTTCCCTGCATAGTTCCTTATTCTATTTCATTTTTGCAAAGAATTTGTAGTGTATTCAATAGATTGTTCCACCAGATTTAGAAAACATTACTCCAGTTATATGTAAAGCAAGAAATGTCTGCTATGTTAATTTACTTATTTGTTTGTTCTTACTGTCTATATAGGATGAGTTCAACAATGACTTAATAGCATCAGAATTTTGACAAAGCGGGAAAAAGGCAATTAAAATAGTAGCTAGAACTTTGTCAGCTAATCACCTAATGTTACCTCAAGTATCTGTCAACAGTGTGATGGATTTTAAGACATTAAAAACTGGGCAACTCAGGAATAAGCTGAAATAAATTATAAGGTTTTATCAAAAACCTATTATTTAGCTATGAAGACTTTTTGTTGTTAATTATATGGCATAAAAGTAATTCACTATAGAAAATTTGTAACTTTCTTAAACATACGTCATATAAGTGATAAACCTTTACAAATGAACTGTGAAAATAGACTCATGATTTTCCTTCCTCACATTTTATACATGTACTATTATTTTCCTTTATTATTTAAGAGTAGGTTTTATTCCTCCATGAATGTAAATGCATTTAAAATTGATTAGGATTTTCACATGACATTTCAGAGTAGTTTTCTGCTACAAATTTTCTCAAATCTGAATTTATTACCAACTGATAGCTGTGGTTAATATCAATGTGAACCTAAACATTAAAGCAAACATTTGCTGAAATTTACATAGTTTTCAATTTTCTAATGCTAGCAAAAGTGAACTGCTTCAAAATAAAAATCACCTATACTTTTACTGAAAAAAAGAAAAAAAAAGCTTCATGTATCAGTTCAAATTCTTCCCTGTTAAGCTAATTATCTTTTGCTTGTGTAGCAGTTTAATTTTTGCCATGCTGTGTAAAGCCTTGCTCAAAGCAGTACAACATAAAGGAAGTTTGGTTTTTCTTTTCTTTTTTTCATTTTCCTTATCTTTTCTGTTGATTGGCTGAGAGGGTATGTGTTTGGGGGTCTCTTGCAGTTTCCCTAGAGACTGTTTATGTAAATTGAAAAAATCAGTATTACTTGGAAAAAATAACTAAAACTTTGATTTAACAGTACAAAAGAGGGTACTATCTAATCCCTCAAGTAGGAAATTGCTTTTCTTCATGATCCATTGCTTTCATACTGTTTCTGGTTGCTACTGCCAAAAGAGAAAAGACCCACCTTTACTCTTCTTTTACCATGTCTGTTTTCTTCCCTCTGCAAAGCTTGGCAATAAATAATAGTTGAAAGGAGCAAATTTAAATAATAATAGTAAAAGTGCATGACTGATAAGATCATCAGGTCTCAATTGGACAACTGTGATTATACAGGAGAGAAGCAGGAGAGAATTGACAAGGGAACATAAAATGGGAAATTAAGCATTTGGCATAATGTAGCAATGAAGATGTGACTTATTTGTAGCTGTTTTATATGCTACTGTAAATATTAGCTGGAATGGGATCACACATGCTCCAAAACTGGTGATTTTTCTGAAGGAGGCAGGTTTTCTGTGAGAGGCTTTGAATTTTATTTTCAACAAATGCTAAATCAAAATGCTGCCTATGAAAAGATACTGATTTTGTTTGTTTACAGTTGATTTTCCCCTGGCCATTAAACTATGTAGTTTTAACTGCAATTTAAGCTGGTGTTTGCTAATTTTTTAAAATTATACTTTAAGTTCTGGGATACGTGTGCAGAACATGCAGGTTTGTTACATGGGTAAACATGTGCCATGGTGGTTTGCTGCACCCATCAACCTGTCATCTACATTAGGTATTTCTCCTAATGCTATCCCTCCCCTTGCTCCCCAACCCCCAACAGGCCCCAGTGGGTGATGTTCCCCTCCCTGTGTCCATGTGTTCTCATTGTTCAACTCCCACTTATGAGTGAGAACATGCAGTGTTTAGTTTTCTGTTCCTGTGTTAGTTTGCTAAGAATGATGGTTTCCAGCTACATCCCTGTCCCTGCAAAGAACATGAACTCATTCTTTTTTATGGCTGCATAGTATTCCATGGTGTATATGTGCACATTTTCTTTATCCAGTCTAATATTGACGGGCATTTGGGTTGGTTGCAAGTCTTTGCTATTGTGAATAGTGTTGCAATAAACATAAATGTGCATATGTCTTTATAGTAGAATGATTTATAATCCTTTGGGTATATACCCAGTAATGGGATTGCTGAATCAAATGGTATTCCTAGTTCTAGATCTATGAGGAATCGCCACACTGTCTTCCACAATGGTTGAACTAATTTATACTCCCACCAACAGTGTAAAAGTTTTCCTTTTTCTCCACATCCTCTCCAGCATCTGTTGTTTCCTGACTTTTTAATGATCACCATTCTAACTGGCGTGAGATGGTATCTCATTGTGATTTTAATTGCCTTTCTCTAATGACCAGTGATGATGAGCTTTTTTACATGTGTTTATTGGCTGCATAAATGTCTTCTTTTGAAAAGTGTCTGTTCATATCCTTTGCCCGCCTTTTGATGGGGTTGTTTGTTTTTTTCTTGTAAATTTGTTTAAGTTCCTTGTGGATTCTAGAGATTAGCCCTTTGCCAGATGGATAGATTGCAAAAATTTCCTCCCATTCTTTAGGTTCCCTGTTCACTTTGATGATAGTTTCTTTTGCTGTGCAGAAGCTCCTTAGTTTAATCAGAACCCATTTGTCAATTTTGGCTTTTGTTGCCATTGCTTTTGGTGTTTTAGTCATGCAGTCTTTGTCCATGCCTATGTTTTGAATGTTATTGCCTAGGTTTTCTTCTAAGGTTTTTATGGTTTTAGGTCTTACGTTTAAATCTTTAATCCATATCAAGTTAATTTTTGTATAAGGCATAAGGAAGGAGTCCAGTTTCAGTTTTCTGAATATGGCTAGCCAGTTCCCCCAACACCATTTATTAAATAGGGGATCCTTTCCCCATTGCTTGTTTTCATCAGGTTTGTTAAAGAAAAGATGGTTGTAGATGTGTGGTGTTATTTCTGAGGCCTCTATTCTATTCCATTGGTCTATATATCTGTTTTGGTACCAGTACCATGCTGTTTTGGTTACTGTGACCTTGTATAGTTTGAAGTCAGGTAGCGTGATGCCTCTAGCTTTATTCTTTTTGCTTAGGATTGTCTTGGCTGTACGGGGTACTTTTTTATTCCATATGAAATTTAAAGTACTTTTTTCTAATTTGGTAAAGGAAGTCAATGGTAGCTTGATGGGAAAAACATTAAATGCATAAATTACTTTGGGCAGTATGGCCATTTTCACGATATTGATTCTCTCTATCCATGAGCATGGAATGTTTTTCCATTTGTTTGTGTCCTCTCTTATTTCCTTGAGCATTGGTTTGTAGTTCTCCTTGAAGAGGTCCTTCGTATCCCTTGTAAGTTGTATTCATAGGTACTTTATTCTCTTTGCAGCAATTGTGAGTGAGTGGGAGTTTGCTCATGATTTGGCTCTCTATTACTGGTATATAGGAAAGCTTGTGATTTTTGCACATTGATTTTGTATCCTGAGATTTTGTTGAATTTGCTCATCAGTTGAAGGAGTTTTTGGTCTGAGACAATGGGATTTTCTAAATATACAATCATGTCATCTGCAAACAGCCAATTTGACTTCCTATTTCCTATTTGAATACCCTTTATTTCTTTCTCTTGCCTGATTTTTCTGGCCAGAACTTCCAATAATATGTTGAATAGGAGTGGTGATAGAGGGCATCCTTGTCTTGTGCCGGTTTTCAAAGGGAATGCTTCCAGCTTTTGCCCCTTCAGTATGATATTTGTTGTGGGTTTGTCATAAATAGCTCTTATTATCTTGAAATATGTTCCACCAATACCTAGTTTATTGATTGCTTTTAGCATGAAGGGCTGTTGAATTTTATTGAAGGCCTTTTCTGCATCTATTGAGATAATCATGTGTTTTTTGTCTTTGGTTCTGTTTATGTGATGGATTAAATTTATTGATTTGTGTATGCTGAATCAGCCTGGCATCCCAGGGATGAAGCTGACTTGATCGTGGTGGATAAGCTTTTTGATGTGCTGCTGGATTCAGTTTGCCAGTATTTTATTGAGGATTTTCGCATCGATGTTCATCAGGGATATTGGCCTGAAATTTTCTTTTTCTGTTGTGTCTCTGCCAGGTTTTGATATGAGGATGATGCTGGCCTCATAAAATGAGTTAGGGAGGAGTGCCTCTTTTTCTATTGTTAGGATTAGTTTCAGAAGGAATGGTACCAGCTCCTCTTTGTACCTCTGGTAGAATTAGGCTGTGAATCCATCTGGTCCTGGGCTTTTTTTAAATTACTGCCTCAATTTCAGAACTTGTTATTGGTCTCTTCAAGGATTCGACTTCTTCCTGATTTAGTCTTCGGAGGGTGTATATATCCAGGAATGTATCCATTTCTTCTAGATTTTCTAGTTTATTTGCATAGAGGTGTTTATAGTGTTCTTTGATGGTAGTTTGTATATCTGTGGGATCAGTGGTGATATCCCCTTTATCATTTTTTTATTGTGTCTATTTGATTCTTCTCTCTTTTCTTATATATAGTCTGGCTAGTGGTCTATCTATTTTGTTGATCTTTTCAAAAAACACCTCCTGTTTTCATTGATTTTTTGAAGGTTTTTTTGTGTCTCTATCTCCTTCAGTTCTGCTCTGATCTTAGTTATTTCTTGTCTTCTGCTAGCTTTTGAATTTGTTTGACCTTGCTTCTTTAGTTCTTTTAATTGTGATGTTAGGGTGTTGATTTTAGATCTTTCCTGCTTTCTCCTGTGGGCATTATGTGCTATAAATTTCCCTGTAAACACTGCTTTAGCTGTGTCCTAGAGATGCTGGTACGCTGTGTCTTTGTTCTCACTGGTTTCAAAGAACATCTTTATTTCTGCCTTCGTTTCGTTATTTACTCAGTAGTCATTCAGGAGCAGGTTGTTCAGTTTCCGTGTAGTTGTGCGGTTTTGAGTGAGTTTCTTAATGCTGAGTTCTAATTTGATTGTACGGTGGTCTGAGAGACTGTTTGTTATGATTTCTGTTCTTTTGCATTTGCCGAGGAGTGTTTTACTTCCAATTATGTGGTAAATTTTAGAATAAGGGCAATGTGGTGCTGAGAAGAATGTATATTCTGTTGATTTGGGGTGGAGAGTTCTGGAGATGTCGATTAGGTCTGCTTGTTCCAGAGCTGAGTTCAAGTCCTGAATATCCTTGTTAATTTTCTGTCTCATTGATCTGTATAATATTGACAGTGTGGTGTTAAAGTCTCCCATTATTATTGTGTGGGAGTCTAAGTCTCTTTGTAGGTCTCTAAGAACTTGCTTTATAAATCTGGGTGCTCTTGTATTGGGTGCATATATATTTAGGATAGTTAGCTGTTCTTGTTGCATTGATTCCTTTACCATTACGTAATGCCCCTCTTTCTCTTTTCTGATGTTTGTTGGTGTTGGTGTAAAGTCTGTTTTATCAGAGACTAAGATTGCAACCCTTGCTTTCTTGCTTTCCATTTGCTTGGTAAATCTTCCTCCATCATTTTATTTTGAGCCTATATGTGTCTGTGTATATGAGATGGGTCTCCTGAATACAGCACACCGATTGGTCTTGACTCTATCCAATTTGCCAGTCTTGCCTTTCGATTTGGGCATTTGGCCCATTTACATTTAAGGTTAATATTGTTATGTTTGAAATGATCCTGTCATTATGATGCTAGTTGGTTACTTTGCCCATTAGTTGATGCAGTTTCTTCATAGTGCCAATGGTCTTTACACACATTGGTCTTTCACATTACAGTGACTGGTAACTGGTTTTTCCTTTCCATATTTAGTGCTTCCTTCAGGAGCTCTTGTAAGGCAGGCCTGGTGGTGACAAAATCCCTCAGCATTTGCTTGTCTGTAAAGGATTTTATTTCTCCTTCACTTATGAAGCTTATTTTGGCTGAATATGAAATTCTGGGTTGAAAATTCTTTTCTTTAAGAATGTTGAATATTGATCCCCACTCTCTTCTGGCTTGGAGGGTTTCTGCAGAGAGAGCTGCTGTTAGTGTGATGGGCTTCCATTTGTGGGTAGCCCAACCTTTCTCTCTGCGTGCCCTTGACATTTTTTCCTTCATTTCAACCTTGGTGAATCTGATGATTATGTGTTTTGGGGTTGCTCTTCTTGAGGAGTATCTTTGTGGTGTTCTCTGTATTTCCTGAATCTGAATGTGGGCCTGTCTTGCGGGTTGGGCAAGTTCTCCTGGATAATATCCTGAAGTGTGTTTTCCAACTTGGTTCCATTATCCCCTTCACTTTCAGGTAGACCAATCAAATGTAGGTTTGGTCTTTTCATATAATCCCATATATCTTGGAGGCTTTGTTCGTTCCTTTTCATTCTTTTTTCTCTAATCTTGTCTCCATGCTTTATTTTGTTAAGTTGATTGTCAATCTCTGATATCCCTTCTTCTGCTTGATAGTTCGGCTATTGATACTTGTGTGTGCTTCACGAAGTTCTCGTGCTCTGTGTTTCAGCTCCATCAGGTCATTTATGTTCTTCTCTAAACTGGTTATTCTAATTAGCAATTTGTCTACCTTTTTTTCAAGGTTCTTAGCTTCCTTGCATTGGGTTAGAACATGCTCCTTTAGCTCAGAGGAGTCTGTTATTACCCACCTTCTGAAGCCTACTTCTGTCAATTCGTCAAACTCATTCGCCGTCCAGTTTTGTTCCCTTGCTTGCAGGGGGCTGTGGTCCTTTGAAGGAGAAGAGGAATTCTGGTTTTTGAAATTCTCAGCCTCTTTGCACTGGTTTTTCTTCATCTTTGTGGATTTGTCTACCTTTGGTCTTTGCTGTTGGTAAACTTCAGATGGAGTTTTTGCGTGGTCGTTCTTTCTGTTGATGTTGATGCTATTGCTTTCTGTTTGTTAGTTTTCCTGCTGTTTGTTTTCCTTTCTGTTACTTTTCCTTCTAACAGTCTTCTGCAGTTCTGCTGGAGTTTGCTGGGGGGTCCGCTCCAGACCCTGTTTGCCTGGGTATCACCAGTGGAGGCTGTGGAACAGTAAAGGTTGCTGCTTGCTTCCACCTCTGGAAGCTTCGTCCCAGTGGGACACCTGCCAGATGCCAGCTGGAGCTCTCCTGTATGAGTTGTCTGTTAACCCATGCTGGGAGGTGTCTCCCCATCAGGAGACATGGGGATCAGGGACCCACTTGAGAAGGCAGTCTGTCCCTTAGCAGAGCTCCAGCGATGTGCTGCAAGATCTGCTGCTCTTTTCAGAGCCAGCAGGCAGGAGTGGGTAAGTTGGCTGAAGCTGTGCCAACAGCCGCTCCTTCCCCCATGTGTTCTATCCCAGGGAGATGGGAGTTTTATCTATAAGTTCCTGACTGGGGCTGCTGTCTTTTTTTCAGAGATGTCCTGCCCAGAGGGCAGGAATCTAGAGAGGCAGTCTGGCTATAGCGGCTTTGTGGTGCTGTGGTGGGCTCTGCCCAGTCCAAACTTCCCACGAGCTTTGTTTACATTGTGAGGGGAAAACCACCTACTCAAGCCTCAGTAATGGTGGACGTCCCTCCCCACACCAAGCTTGAGCATCCCAGGTCGACTTCAGGCTGCTGTGCTGGCAGCAAGAATTTCAAGCCAGTGGATCTTAGCTTGCTGGACTCCAGGGGGGTGGGATTCGCTGAGCAAGACCACTTGGCTTCCTGGCTTCATCCCCCTTTCCAGGGGAGTGAATGGTTCTGTCTCGCTGACGTTCGAGGCACTACTGGGGTAGAAAGAAAAACTCCTGCAGCTAGCTTGGTGTCTGCCCAAGCAGCCACCTAGTTTTGTGCTTGAAACCCAGGTCCCTTGTGGTGTAGGCACCAGAGGGAATCTCCTGGTCTGTCGGTGGTGAAGACCATGGGAAAAGCCTAGTGCGTGGGCTGGATAGCACCATCCCTCATGGCACAGTCCCTCACCGGCTTCCCTTGGCTAGGAGAGGGAGTTCCCCATCTCCTTGTGCTTCCTGGGTCATGTGACGCCCCACCCTGCTTTGGCTCGCTCTCCGTGGGCTGCACCCACTGTCTAACCAGTCCCAGTGAGATGAACCAGGTACCTTAGTTGAAAATGCAGAAATCACCTGCCTTCTGAATTGGTCTTGCTAGGAGCTGCAGACCAGAGCTGTTCCTATTTGGCCATCTTGCCTGGGAATCCAGTGTTTGCTACTTCTGAAGCAAACCACTGTGAATTGGGCTAAAACAATTTCATTCTTAATATTTGCCTTATAAATTTTATTAATGCATGAAATTTTACACTGCACAGAAAATCGGAAATTTGCCTCTCCCTTCAATATGAGAATAGCACATAAATAAATAAAAATATGCCTGGGCGCGGTAGCTCATGCCTGTAATCCCAGCACTTTGGGAGGCCGAGGTGAGTGGATCACCTGAGGTTGGGAGTTCGAGATCAGCCTGACTAACATGGAGAAACCCCATCTCTACTAAAAATACAAAATTAGCCGGGCATGGTGGCACATGCTTGTAATCCCAGCTACTCAGGAGGCTGAGGCAGGAGAATCGTCTGAACCCAGGAGGCAGAGGTTGTGGTGAGCTGAGATTGCCCCATTGCACTCCATCCTGGGCAACAAGAGTGAAACTTTGTCTCAAAATAATAAATAAAAAAAAAAATAAATAAATAAATAAATGTATTATTTATTTGTTTATGTAGAGATGGGATCTCTCTGTCACCCAGGCTGGAGCACAGTGGCCTTATCATTACTCACTGCTGCCTTGAACTGGGTTAAAGTGATCCTCCTATGTTAGCTAGCACCACAGATATATACCACCATGCCTCTACAAAATTTTTTTAAATTTTTTGTAGAGATGGGGTCTCCTTATGTTGCTCAAGCTGGTCTCAAACTGGTAGTCTCCAGTGATCCTTCTGTCTTCGCCTTCCAAAGTGCTAAGATTTCAGGCCTGAGCACCTGGCCCAGTTTTCATCATTTAAGGGCATTGGTAGTGAGGCATTTGTTTCTTCTATTTGATTAAAAAAAAATCTTAAGTCTAGATATTTTCTTGTATCTCTTTGATTAGGTGCCTAAAGCAATCTGAAGGTAAACTAGTTCATTTAAAAATAACGTAAGAGGCAGTCATCAAGTATGCTTTAAAAAAATCATCAGATATGCTTTGTTTTAATACCTGTCGTGTTAAATATTGAAGACCACACCATATGTCTAATGAAAGCTTCATTAGGAAGACATTAGTAGATTAATTCCACTTGCTGTGTGGTTTATTTTATTTAGAAGGCAATAAGGTAAGTTCATTGCTTTGCAGGCATAATGTTTTCTACTGTACTTGAACGCAACCAGGAACAATTCCACAGAGGTCTTTGGATCTACTAACACCTGTCAAGATAAACACACAGTTCTCCGGGGGAATCATCTCAGCAATAGAACAGAGAAAATGTGAGGGAAAGTAATTCTTTTACAAAAGGAAAATAAGACAGTTTTAGAAAAGCAACATTGATTAATAATTTTTCAAAATGCCTCAGAGGTCATATATTTCTTATACAGGTATCAAAAAATTTCCTATCTTTTAAGAATAAATGTTTTGGAGCATATACTTCTTACTTTAAAATCAATATTCTAAGAGACTTGAACTATTGGAATAATTGTGCAATTTGAATTGAGCTACTAGAAGTTTTTCCAACTCTTATAGCTAGTCTTCCCTCATCCATCCCAGAAAAAAATATTAGATGATAAGTTTTGCTATAGTAATATTATTTGAATGGTTATAGTGAAAATGGTGACAGTATTTCCATTATAAAACCCTACAGTTAAGAATTTATAAGTTGGCTATAAATGTTTGTTCTGTAATTCAACTTGGCAGCAAGCATCTTAGCTTGGCAGTACTTTCTTTTTTTTTTTGAAGTATGGAAAAGAAAGACATCTGTTTATAACATGAGTAGGAAAATATGACAATGAATTCCATCATTCTTTATAACCAGCTTACTTAGCATTCAAATTAAAATTAAGCCTAAACTTCTTATATATTTTAGATAATAAAAATAACTCACCAATAAACCTATAAGGGTAAGTTGAAGAGGATTTGTTTCATTTCTCTGTTGGCTTTGGTGATTTTAACCACTAAACATGGTGATAGACTTAACCAGTTGCTTTGATCATCATTTATTCTGCACAATAGTAATGTGAATACACTGTTACATATCCTCACTCTTTTTTTAGGTATTTGTAATATTCTACACTTGAGAAGGTAGCAAAAAAATGACAGAGTTCAGAAATTTTTCCAATGGGGAAATATATATTAACATTTGATAGAACAATTAATGCAATACTAAGAGACGAAGGAAGTAGAAAAGATAGTTTTACAGAGAGAATAGCATGGGATATGTCAAAGTAAAAACAACAACAACAAAAAGTGTGCAGTGTGTTTTATGGAAGAGTGAGAAATTCATGTGGCTGGAGCCTGGGGTGTTTGTGGGGAAAGTGGCAGAAGTTGAAATGGAGGTAAAACAAGAGGCATGGAGGCACATTTTAAAGGGCTTAATATAACATGCTACAGAATTTTAATTTTACCTGGTAAAAAGGTCTTGATAGTAGAATAGTCATACCAACTTATCTATAGTATTGACATCAGAATATCTCTGACAAAATGTGTAACCTAACAAATATATATATATGTATATATAAATATTGTATATATGTGTATATATATGTATATATATATAATTTATATATCCTGAATTTCTGAATTGGGTGGGGATTAGATTATAGATCCCAGATAGAGACTCAATTTGAATCGCATGATTAAGTTCCTCTCAGTGCATTCAAATTGTAGTATATGCTCTACAACATATATTCACAAAGATAAATCAAATTGTTTTATGCTCTGAGTCCTTGGACATTCAGGAAATTAAACATATGGTACATGATTTCTGGTTCCTGGTTTGAGTATCTGTGTTTACCAAAGAATTTGGAAATTATGCTTTAGTCTTAATATTACCCTAAATTGCCTTAGAGTTGTCCTTCCACTTCTAGTTGTTCTCAACAATCTCATGCTTCTTTCTGCAGTGGTAGATGTGTATGACAGACAGTGTCTTGGAATTCAGGCACACAGATCCCAGGTTGCCAGTTCATGGCATTGATCTTTTCTCTAGCTGATGCTGGTTGGACTGGAGGCCTAATATGCCCAGACCTGGAAGGGACTTTTTAATTTTTGTTCTTGTTTAGTTTAGTTTTGTTATGGTGACTATTTGGATGACCAGTATTAGGAATTATATGTAACAATATTATCATAAATTCTGATTTATTTTCTCCCTACCATAAAACAAGGGGAAAAAAAACCCATTTCAGAAAACAACAGCAAAAAGCTAGTGTGTGTGTGTATATATATATATATATATATATATATATATATGTATGCACTCTAGACGCTAAGGTAGTGTATATATAGATACACACACATATACTCTAGGCACTATTGTATTTTAAATGCTTTAAATTTGTCGACTCATTTAATCCTCACAACAACCCTACAATTAACCTTTTTTACAGATGGGAAAACTGAGCTTAAATAACCTGCCCAAGGCCACATAGCTAGCAAGTTTGTAGAAGCAAGAATTGAACCCTAGTGTAGTGTCTGAGTTCCTGCTCATAGCCACTGGTAAGGCAACAAATAAAAGAGCTCAAATACAAAAGATGAGAAGGAAAATAGAATATTTTTTTCTAACTGTAGTAAAGAGAATTTATAGTTACATGGTGTGAGATGAGAACAAATAGGTTTATATAATAGACATCTTGAAGTTTTTAAAGAATGCTTTAAAGAAGAGAACTGGGAACAGCACTATGATCTATGCTTAGGGAACACTGATCTGCCTGTAGTTATATTGGATCAACTAACGGGAGGTGAGATCATTGGTAAGGAGCTTAATGAGAAAGCTCTCCATGTGTTAGTTAATAAAACCTGAAATAAGGACCTTGGCATTCCCCTGGACTAGCAGCTTCAGCATCACCTGGGAGCTTGTTAGAAATGCAAATTATCAGGGTCCTCCAAAGATTAAGGAAATCAAAAGCAAAGCAATCTGTGATTTAACAGCCCTTCTAGCCCCTCTAGTGTATGTTCTATGCACACTAAAGTTTGAGCAACACAGATTTAGAGAAACAGAGGCTATGGTAATAAATTAAGAAGTGGCTGAGCTTGACTATAGACTGAGTGGGAAGACTTTAGAATATGGCCAAATTAAAAACCACATCGCAGCTCATTATCTTTATGTCTTTGGCATAAAGTACCTATGAATAAAGAATAAATAAGCTAAACTAAGTACACATGAATAAAGAATAATAACATATTTATTGTGTGTTTAATAGATTTTAGAAATGGTTCCAATTTCATTACATTTAGCGTTATAATCATTTTCCAGATGAGGAAACTGGGACAAGGGGCCCTTAAACTCAATGTCACATGAATAAAAACAATGAAGCTTGGATTCATACTCACAGTCAGGCACTCCAGTCTCATGTTGTCACGCTACATTATGAACACATTGAAACTGAAAGAGCATGAGCCTAGGAAGTGTTTGTCACCAACAGAAATCGGTTGAAACAATTCTACAAACTATATAAGCTGACAGTGATTAAAAGATGGCATATTATTGGTTGGTGCTCCTGTGATGCCTGCAACACTTGAACTTGCAGTTATAGTGAAATCTCTATGACCCTGACTTGGTACTTAAGCACCAAGTTGTATGCAAGCCACCAAACATGAAATTTTTATTAAATCGAATGAAAGACAAGATAGAGATTACAGAATATTTCAGAGCTAAACACAACCAATCTTGACTTGAATAAATCTAGTCACGTTTCCAAGTCAAACTGCACATCTAGGCTTTAATTCAATTTGAGTGACTTGAGTACCGCATTGGCTCATCTTGATCCCCAGCACTCCCTCTGATTTGTTATATCATTGGGGAGGTGCTAGGTAATAGCTAAGTTGACTGAATTCACCAATCTATATCTATGACTGGACTATCGGTGGTTGGAGGTGAAAGTGTTCCTCAAGATAAATAAACACTTCATAAATAAACCTGACTTTTCTGTAACACAAGTTTATCATCTGAATAATAAAAAGATTGCAGTAAATCTCCAGAGATGCTTTTAGCCTGGCATTATTATTATTATTATTATTATTATTATAATATTATTATTATTATTATTATTATCAATGCTCTTACTCTCATTTTCTGATCTTACTCTTAGGGACCTGCAATAATCCAGAGGGGTAACAGGATCAGGGGTTTAGCTTTACAGCTCTCCAGAACAAACCCTCTTCTGAGTCTGTCCCTTTTTACTGACGCTCAGTTCAAACTCAGAAAAGTAGGTAGATGGATATGTGGGGTCTGCTTATCTTTACTTTATGGGGATACTGGTAGAAATGCAAAATGCAAGACCGACACTCTTCTCATTTTTAATTTTTAAAATATTAGTGCTGCCTGTGGGTTTTAATATATTTCCCCTCTGCTGATTTTAGTGTCTACTTTTCTATTTAAAAAGCTTAATACTGAGCTTTAAGGGTTTCCAATTAAGCTTAAGGAAAATATGAAAAGAATGAAAGTGTCTGCCTGACAACCATCCTGTTTTTTGAGACAAAAAGGTTGATTTTTGTAATATGAAGAAATAACTTGAAATGGCCTGTCCTTTCCCATTTCTCCAGAATCTCCCTCTTCCACTCACTCTCCTCTTCCATCTCTTTCTATTTCTTTTGTGTTTTCCTCTCAACTTTCAAATCCATGTCTCATTTCTTAACTGTTGTTCAACGTAGGCTCCCTGTATTCTTGTTCATGATAAATCATCAGGCGTGAGTGGGCTTAGGACAGCTTAGCACATACAGTCCTTAGGTTCTTTTAGGTAGATCTCAGTAGCCATGGTTGTTGGCGGCAACTGAGTGTGAACCCCGTTTCCAAGAGTTCACACAAGTACAGCTCATAATGAATTCAACACCAAGACCAACTTCTGCTACAGATCTAGACATTTATTAATGAGTAGGCACAAAATTTTGTAGCCTATTCTAGAAGCTTGGTGAAGTTCCAGCTCTTCATTCTTTTAAGTACCTGAAAAAAATGTCTTCCAAAAATGGTTTTCCTGAAGCAAATATGACAGTATTTCAACGACAGCACCCACCTCACCATCTCTCAGAATTAAGTGACTAAGAACTGTTAGGGATCAACAATAGTACCTACCTCATATCATTTTGTAATGATTATATGAATTAATTCATTTAAATCACTCAGAGTAGTGTGCTAGAAATAAGTGTTAGTTTTTATTATTACTATTATTATGGAACCATTCCTCATAATAAAGGGTGAAAAGCCTCTTAGAGTCACATACTCTGTTTATGTAGAAGTGAGGCGTGTTCAGGTAAAATTTAGTTAATTCACGCATCTTGCCTATTAATAATTTCACAAAGGATTAACTTCCTCCTAACTTTCGTTGGACCAATTAACAAGCCCTTAATTTCATCAGTGATAACTTATTTTCAACAGATATTATAACTAATGAGCACAGCCACATCATAATTAGAGATGATAGTAGCACAAGGCTTCTAGAAGCCACCTCTGTCTGCTGTAATTCTGACTGAGGTGTTGGGGCATAAATTCCTGATAAAGGCACTGACACTCTTGGGGTACAGACAGCGTTAAGAAACACTTACATCGCACTGTCTGTGCTGAATTTTTTTAGAATACATTACAGTTAGCCAAAAACCATGTTTCCTCCAACCAGTTCTTCAATCACCTGAGAACAATTTGTGAGATTCTGCCTCAGTTTCCCTTAGATAACAAAATTGCAAGCCCAAAGACTGAGTAGCTGAAGAGACACAAATTAATGGGTACACACAAGCTTTATTTGCTTCATCCAGATTACTCATGTTTTTGCCCACAATACTTTTTCTACACTATCTAGACAGAGAATTGCTCCTTGTTCCACAAAATTACAATCATTTATAACAAATATTGCTGTATCCGTATCACAGCATACACCCTAGAACCTCCTAAGTATTGCAAAGGTGCCCTAGACATCTGCCTGGAAGACTACAGCTACAATTTCTTCTTTTGAGGCAGCCATAAATATTTTCTCTTTAGCTCTTGAGACTCCTGTAAAACTAAGATTTCTGGCCCATCCTTTCTCTAACCCTGCCTTTATCTCCCAAGGCCCCAGACAATATAAGACAGGCAGGGGAGTGAGGGAGGAGGGGAAGCATCTTCCTAATTGAATGCTCTTGGGAAGGTTATTCACAATCTTCTACGCTTATTCTATTTCTATGGCTTTTCCTTATACAAATCGCTCTCCAAAGTCCCAGCCTTATCCATTCCTAGCAATCAAGAGAATAACAAATACAGTTGATCCTTGTTATTTATTTGTAGCCCTGGCACTTTGATGATCCTTAGCAAACACGCAGAGAATGGCAAACGTTTGTGTTCCCAATGCACATGTTCCTGGCTGAAGTTGAACAAGACTATTGGCTTCCTTCTTGTTTCAGCTCTCACACTGTAAACAAGTGCGCTATTTTAGGTCTTTTTAGCACCACGTTTTTGTGTTTTACGTTGGTGACTTTGCTGTTTAAAATGGCCCTCAAGCATAATACTAAAGGGCTGTCTAATGTTCCTAAATGCAAGAAAGATGTGATGTGCCTTATGGAGAAAATACATATTAGATATGTTTCTTTTAGGCATGAGTTAGAGTGCTGCTGGTCATGAGTTCAATGTTGATGAATCAACATTATGTATTAAGGAAGGTGTCATTATCATTCAGAAACACATAAAACAAGGCAATGGATTGATTCAGTGATGAAAATGTGATCAGAGGTTTGCAGGAACATAGCCCTGTATTTCCCCATGGGAGCAATGGTTCAGTATTTGCTAATTCAGTGTTCACAGGGACTTTATTTGCCACAGCTACTGTGAATAATGAGAACTGACTGTAAGTACTAAGAGACTAGATATGTTTCACATATGCTGGACACTAGAGGAAGTAGGAATGAAGACTTGACTCTTGTCCCCTTCAGGCATCTACCATTTATTTGGGGAGGAAAGGATAGATTAACACAATATATGAGGGTATTGGAAAACAATGCAATGTTCTACGTATCTTTTAGATGGAAGGCAACTGAATGTATTGTGCATGGTGATCAGCTTGAATATGTTAGACCTGTATGAGAGAAGAGACATAACGCCTTCATGTCAGGGAGCAGTTGACATATTTTAAAGAACACCAACATTAAATATTGCATGATATCCTTTCTACCCTGTGGGATTGTTAGGAAAGATAGAAACATGAGTATTTTATAAAGGAAGCCACAGTGCCTCAGGGAAAGACTCAGTAACTAATGTGATGTAACCAGTAAATGGTGGCATCAAAAATGCAGTACGGATTTCCTAACTCCTAATCCAGTGCTCTTTCCATGCTAACACTATGAAATGTCAAATTCAGAATATGGACCTGCAGTCCTGAAAACATACTGTGTGGATGATTTTCCTTTTCTTTTTGAAGCTCTACTTGATATTTTTAAAACGAATAATCACGACTCTTGTTAGTGAATTAAAATACATATGTTGCAAAATAACAAAATGAGTAAGAAATGACTGGGGGCAAGGGCAGAAACAGTTCACAGTGGAAAATGATAGATTTTGCGTCTGCTGGCCTTCGAGCAGCTGTGGAAGGTTGGGAGACACGGCATATTTAAATAGATAAAAGCATCATGTTTAGCAAGGCTGAACTGTTTCAATCAATATACTACTGAAGAATTATCTTTTAGTATCATAAAATAAACTTTTGACAGGAATGTGACATGTGTGATTGCTACAGGTGTGATTTGGGGGCCACTGGACACTATTTATATAGTGGGCATCAGAGTCCCATGGTTGAATCTTTGGACTAGGAAGCAATATACAAGTCTAAATGGCCACTTGGGTTAGTAGCTGATTTGAATCAAATCTTCCCAGAATTACATTTTTTAAAAAATACTGGACTTTATATTTGTTGATAACAATTATGTAGATGGTGAGAAGCTAGTGAGAAATCATTCCTGTTCAATGTTGCTTTCTTTTGGCTTTAAATAGAAATAAAGACAAAAAAAAAAAAGTCCAGCCACTGGACATGTCATAGTTTTTTATCATCTTTTGGAAATCAGGGAAATGTTTAAATCATAGTCCCAAGTCTTAATCACCAGCATCCAGTGCCTGTGGTCCTCCTAGCCAAGTTCACTTGCATTGCTAGATTTCTACTCTTAAATTTATGCTGGCTTTGCTGGTCTTTCATCTAGGACACACAGCTTTCAGTTAAAGATGCTGTATTTCATCAAAAGCATATAAATGTCCTATTTCCCTTGGGGGCACTAGATTTAGGAATTTTCATTTCCTGATGCTATTTTCTTTATAAGACAGGATGAGAGAAAGGAGGAGTTCCACTGTTAGCAAAGATCATCACAGCGGGGCTTCTATAGAGATCTTGGAAGATCTTAAATATTCCTAAAATATTGACTGAAATACAAGCAATTTTATTCATGCCATTTCTTTCTTTTCTGCTTTCTTCCTGTTTCTCTCCTGACCCTTCTCTTCCTCTCTTCCCATTCTTCCACTTTCTGCCTCTTCTGCAGCTGCCAAATTAATGCATCCTTTTCCCTCCTTGTGAGTTTTGGTCCCCTGAACTTCCACTGCCTTATATGAGATATAATATGGTAATGGGAAGAAGAATCCTTGTTATGAGTAACATATGTGATTAACAGATCATCGCGACTGATGCTTGAGTACAAGGTATCAAGCCATATTTAGCAGATTGAGTTTAAACACCTGGTAGAACAAGTTTGGTCCAATAAAAAGACCCGAATTCTCTCCCTTTTAAGATCTCTAAAGACACTGGTTACATCTAAACCATTGGGTAGGGGAAGGGTGCCATTTGCCATTGTAGTTCAGATGGAGGGATCACCTGGTGGAGGGAGAGTTGCTTTTTAGGTGTTCCCGTTTCGCCTTACACGTGTCCCTTTGATGCGTGGAGAATGCAAGGGAGAGGCAAAGCAGGGCGATTTTCGTGGGAAGCTAGACCAGCCTCCCTCGTTACATAGGCTCGTCCTCTGCATTGCATCCGAGCTTCAGTGATTTGCTGTTTGGAGACTGCAGATTTGCATAGAGCCCCTTGCTTCACCAGCGTGTGTGGTTTTTCTTTTCTTTTTTTCTTTTTCTTTTTCTTTTTCTGTTTCTCTCCCTTACTCCTTCGTCTGCATCTTCTTCTCAGCTGCCTTTCCGCCGTTCGATTCCCACTTCCTTCAGAAGGGCGCACTCTTCCCTCTGAACCCCTCGCCGGGCGTAAGTGTCAGGAGGCGGCGGACGCGGAGATTGCCTCGGGAGCAGGCGATGCGCGCCGCTGCTCCGCGCGCTGCCCGGGGGAGGCTGGCGCTAGCGGGCGAGCCGGCCGGGGCTGAATGGAGGGAAGGGGCGCCTGGATTCCATGGGGTCTGCTTCTGTCTTGAAAGGAGGTTGGGCCGGCGAAGTGGCCTCCCTAGTCCCCGCACACAAAGCTAAATGGATTTACCTAGTGGATTCGCGGTGGATGTCTGTCATGTAGAAGTGAGGACCTTCCAGGAGGAGCTTTAAACAATTTCTCGGCCCCCCACCCGCCGGCACGCACTCTCGCCCGAAACTCTTTGGGAGTATCTCTCGAGAACCTGGAGCCCTGGAAATCTGGGAGCAGCCACCCGCTCCGCGCTTGCTGTTCCCGGGGCTGCCTTTCCGGACAAGCCCCTCTCCAGCTGCATTCGCCTCGGCTATGTTTCGGATTGTTTGGGGTGCTAGGCACGGCGGACTCCAGGACCCCGAGAAGACTGTCCGAAGGAGGGAGAGGATGGGTGCCCTGGCGCGGTGAGGCGGCCGGCCCCTCAGCCCACTCCGCGCCGCCCGCTCCCCTGCGCCCTCTCCTCTCCCCGCGCCCCAAACTTTGCCTCCCGCGGCGGCTGCCCCTCGGCGGGCGCCCCGCCATGTACCAGAGGATGCTCCGGTGCGGCGCCGAGCTGGGCTCGCCCGGGGGCGGCGGCGGCGGCGGCGGCGGCGGCGGCGCAGGGGGGCGCCTGGCCCTGCTTTGGATAGTCCCGCTCACCCTCAGCGGCCTCCTAGGAGTGGCGTGGGGGGCATCCAGTTTGGGAGCGCACCACATCCACCATTTCCATGGCAGCAGCAAGCATCATTCAGTGCCTATTGCAATCTACAGGTCACCGGCATCCTTGCGAGGCGGACACGGTGGGTCTGCGATGCCAAGTTCTCGCGGGTTATCCCCTCGCTCCCCTCTTTCTACCCTGCACTCGCTCCTGGGCTCCTAAGGCTCAGAGAAATGGGAGCTCGACAAAAGGGAGGTGCATTTGGGTGTGCTTGGTGCGAGCCACTTATCTCTTTGAAGACAATAGAAAGGGGATGGGGGAAGGCGTCGCGGGTGTTGGTGGTGAGGGGTGGGAGGGGCGTTCCTTGTCGAGGTACTGGGAGAGAGATGTGGACACCTACTAAAGGACCAGCCCTGGTCGCGCGGCTGGGCCCCGCGGGAAGGGGGCGTCAGTTGCCAGAAGGTCACTCAGTGGCCGGATGGGGCGCCGCGCTCAGCTAAGGGACCTGAGCACCAGAGAGAAGAGGGCTCTGCAGAACCTTTTGTCTGTGCTGTATATGCTGCCCCACCTCCTGCCCATCTTCCCTGGCCCCGGGGGGCGGGGAGGGAGAGATTCCAGCCCGCACATTCCTCCAAAGTGCGCCCAGACTGCAGTGACAGCGAAGCAGTCCTGGGACTCACTCAACAGGAGGCCAATTACTTTTGCCCCCACGCCTTCCCTTAATTAGAAAAGCTAGGAGGGCAACCGAGTCATCCCCTTTAATGCGGGCCAGCCCTTCGCAGGCATGGAGGGGACCTCTGGACACCATTCCCCTTCCATCCACTCTGCACATAAATATATGTCTTTTTCTTGGTAATTAGGCTGAGTTCTTTTCTAAATGGAACAGAGAGAGGCTTGACTACACATACCCATCTCCCGGAGGATCACGTGTGAAGGCTATTGGAACCAGGGAGGTCTTACTTCCTCCTTCAGTGATTAATGCTTTCCAGGAAGGGCAAGTCAGTCAATGCTGGCTGGGCTAAGCCCGGAGGTCTGCCTGGAGAAGAAGTTAGAGCTAAGGGAAACTATTCTCCTAATGCCCTGTCCCTTTGAAAACAGCAGAGTGTAGAGAAAAGCCTTGGTTGGCAGCTTTCTCCTCCAGAGTGACCAGCACTGTGAGGCCAGATTCCTCTAATTTTCAGATAAATATCTATTCCAGATTCCCCGAATTGCCAAAAATTAAAACATCAATCTGTTTTTGTGAGTCGTTCCCCACTCCCAATTTTTATTCTACCCCGGTGTAAAATGCACTTGTTTAGAAAGCAGAGTGAAAGTTGTGGGCACTTTTTTTATATCCATTTTCCACCTCTTTCTTGCAGGACCCGTCACCTTTCAGACTTGTTTCAGCTCAGAATCCTTTGCCCCACTCCTTATGAGTTTGCTCTGCCCTGAGCAGCTGCTGGTGCTACCAGGATGGCCCTTTATTCCATGGATGCAGGGTGGGGTGGGGGTTTCCCACCTGGGGACAATTCTGGTTAGATATGAAAAACTATAGCATAATCTAACTGAAGAGAGACCAAGTCCCCTAGCAAGCCCTCTTTGGGAGCATACTAGAAAAAACACATCCCTGTGGGTTCTAGGAATTTGTTCCTTTCTCCTTCTCCTAGTTCTCTCCCAGAAATTCTCTCCAGTTAAGAGTGTCTAGTATGGAGACGAGAGTGATGTCCCAAGCTAGGGATTATTTTTATAAGTAACAGAGATTAGATCTCTCTGAAAGAATAAGGAGTTTCTGGTGATCTCACCACAAGCCCACAGTATTCTAGGAGCTTGTTGTTCCCTTTACCTGGGTGCAGTTCTCAACCACTGCCCTGCCTTTGTGCAGAATTGTGTGAGTCCTGAGGGACGGAGGCAAGCCAGGGTGCAGGAAGGGCAGAGTGTGGGTAGGTGGGTGTGGTGAGGCAGATGGGTGTATGGAGCAGGTGGAACACCTAATTGTGCCAGTGGGAAGCACTTGGCTAATAATCTCATATGCAACTTCTCCTTTTCTGTGTCTCGGCCTCTCTCCAGAGGGATAAGGCTGCTGGGGACGTGGGAGAGGAGAAGACCAAGGGGCCCTGCCGCAGAGTGGGGCACTCCTTTTTCCTCTCCGCTGCAAGCTTCTGCCCCAGTCAGGCGCCGTCTGCTGGCCTTTACAAACATTTCTTTCCCTCCAGAATACAGTGATTGTCTCTGCATGTGAATGAAAAATCAGAGGTGTCTGTCATCGAAAAAGAGAAAGAATAGGATAGTAGAGAAAATTGTTGTGTGTATAGTGGTTGGTATTATTCTTTTGGGTCAAAGAACTTTCTGTTTCCTTCGAAGGTTCTGTTGTATGGTCGTGTTTGTGTATTTTTGGATTTCTGCCCACTCTCCTTCATGCTTACTCTTTTGGAAGAGGCTGCTCCTCTTCTGATTCTTTGTTTTTTTCAATCAGAGGCGCAAACTTACATGTCAGTAACCAACCCCTGCCAAATAAAAGCCAGGTGTGAATTTCTCATACTTCATCCTTTCTCTCTTTTGAAAATAATATTAACTTTATAGAGAACAATCAAGGAACATTAGGATAAAAAATAAGCCTCTCAGGGTGGGGGATGGAGAAATGGGGTGAGGTGTGAGTGCAGAGGGACTGAGAACACGGCAGGCAGGGTGATGGCTTAAAGAGAAACCTAATAAGAAAGAGGTGATGTTGAATTTGTTGGGTCAATAGCTCTCTGAATATTTCGCTAGTTGTTGGGACAAAGGACCCACAAGTAAAGAACCCTTGAGCCTAATAGATGAGGGTGAAAGGAAAGCACAAACGTTAATGACAATATGATAAATTCATAGCTGAAAGTCAAGACAAGTGAAAATGAGGTTTAGTTCAAAATCTGAGACTATTGCAAATTTATTTGGCTAGATGAACAAATGAACTAGGCTGTTTGGTTGTATTAGAATTTCTGTGAATCGTAAGACATTTTCTTTCATAATAGAGAATGCATGTATATGCTTGAATGTGTAAAATAAAAATTCATTTATGGTATAGTTTAAGGAATAAAATTGAGTCCCCTATGTTTTGAAAGCTGCTGGGCTGACTATCCAGGTTCATTCTTCTTCATTTTCTCATCTTGCCATGCTTCATTTGCACTATTATGAGGTGTCACTTACAAGGTTTGCAGGGCGCAGAGAGCGCTCATGGCTACCCGAGTATCTTTGTGCAAGCTGACCCAGTTGCAGAGATTATGATGAGGATTTTTTTTAAGGGCCTGTGAGAAGCAGGTTTTGAGAACACTGCAGGGTCCTTTTATATTTTGCATTGGCTCAAAAACATAAATGGTGAAACTACCTCCATAGAAAAATTGTGTTTTTTTTTTCTAGTTAAATAGAGGGAGAACTGTGTGACTGTAAATGACAAAAAGCAAGCCTGCTTGTAATTAAGAATGCTACTTAACGCCAACAAGAGTCCAGAATAGACCAGTGTGCTCAGCCAGTACTGCTTATGTGATGTGCCATATGTGGGGAGCATGGAATGATGTCAGTGAAATGCTTAGGTTCCCATCTCAGCTCCCGGCTTTCCTAAGTGCCTCTGCATACTTTAGAAAATTAGCTTAGAGTCTCTCAATAATTTCAGGAGATAAAGGAAGGAGAAAGCCACCAGTGCCATCCTTTCTCCTCCCACAAATATGAGCTCTGGAAATTATATTGCCATGATTAGCTTACACTATTAAAGGGCAAAAGGGCTTTCCCAGAAGGAAGTGTTAACAGATTTTAAAAGTGTGGTTTGTAATTGAAGTTGCTTAATGGTGTTATATAAGGATAATAATTATATCTTGAATTTATAATGTTTCTGTTTCTGAGACACTTTCAGTACACATACCAAACTTCTAAGAGGATAGGTAGGTTTCAGAGTGAGTTTGAATGTGATTTTCCTGTAGGGATACTGAGGCATACCATAAATGGGCCAAAAGACGGAGCCAGATGTCTGATCAGAGTCAAAGAGGAATTAGAATCAAGGCCTATGGCCCATAGCCCAGAGCAATTCTATGAGCTCAGAGGTTTTTAAACTTAAACTTAAACTAAGAGGGTCCTCTATGCCGTTTAATGGTTGATCTCTTAAGAAATAATTACAAGATACATGGTCCAGCGTTTTGCTTCAAGCATGTTTTAACAATAATGCACACTGTTAGAAAGCTGTTGGTACCTCACTGGAGTCCTGCAGATTACTTCATTGATTCTGCTGAGGAGGTTTTTGTTTCTCTGTTTTTCCAGGAGGCAGGAGGTTAATGTTTCATAGAGTAATCCCTTTACTCTTTTGTGTGGCAACCAAGAGAGCTAGCAAAACCTTTGACAATATTCTCTACATTGGGGAAATATTTAGCTTTAATGTTTAATATTAATTAGCTGGTAATGAATTCATATGTGTGACCCAGAATGTTTTTGGCTATGACTGTTCTGCTGAAACAGACACTGGTGTTCCACACCTTTTCCTTACTTTGGATTCTTGGACAAAATGTTATATCACTTAAATGCTGTTTTCAACAAGATGGCCAGCTACTATTTTTGGAAGAATCTTTGAATCAATGATGATCCAAGTAACCCTGGCACTTTAGAATAATTTTTTGGTTGCCCAAAACTTTAATAGATTTATTTCTTAGATTGTTCATTCATGCATTCATTTATTCACTAAATATATCATAAATTCCTACTATGAGCATGTGTTTGTATTTGTGTACCAGGTACCATGGAGGACCAGAGAATAATAAGGATGAGAGTAGAGTTGAGGTTGGAGGAGGCAAGATATCGGAGGCAGAACCATCAAGAAGTTTACAACTTAGTTCTAAAAATCCAAGCTATTGTTGGAAAGAGTTAATCCTTAAAGAGGCAAATTCAATTTTTTCCTTAAAAATACATAGTTTCCAAGCATAAATGCAAAAAACATAAAGTTTATGTATATGTAGCAATCATCTGGGACTCACCATGAAATGATCTGATAAAAACATCAAAATAGTAAATTTTATCTACACCACTTTCTATTGCCCTTCATTATTAATGTTCTAGAAAGAGCTCTTTATACAGTTGTTTTCCACCAAGTTGCTGCATATATTTTTTCTAACAAAACATAACAATTTCTACTTTTCGAACAGATATAAGTCTTGTTTTGTAAATGTAGTTAAGATAGGAATTCAGTGATTTAAATTTACACTAATAATGAATAATTAATGCAGACTGGTCTGACTAAATACTTCTCAGAAACATATCTGTGTAAAAATTTGGCCATTGCCATTTACTAGCACTGTGTAAATGTACGAAGCTGCTTATCTTTACTAAGAATGTTTTCTCCATTTATAAAATGAAAATACAATAAGTGAAGAATAAATGAGACCATGAATTTGAAAAGTGCCCAGACTATAGTAGGTTCCCAATGATTTTTTTTTTTTTTTAAGAAATACTTAAAAGAGACTTTAGAGCACATGTAGGGGAAATCTAGACCTTAAAATCAGAAGACCTGAGTTCCTGTCCCAGTTCAGCCAGTTATTAACTCAGTGACTTATGGAATTCAGTTACCACTTTGAACATCATTTCTTTCAGTTCTAAAGTTTGAGGAGTATATTCCTTTCATTTTACAGATGTGACAACAGAGATCTAAATAATTTAAGTGAACTACACTCATAGGGTCACAGCAAATCAGCAGCAGAGATGGAGGCAGGACCCATATCTTCTAACTCATCTTCCTCCTCCTATGGAATACTCTTCCATAAAGCCTGTACTCCAATAGAAGGGAAAGCCTGCACTAATTCATCTACACTCTCACCTGTATACTGTATGACCAAAAGCAGTCCTTTTTAGACAATTAACTGGGATTAGAGGCTTGGTCTTTGAGAAGAGAATAGAGCAACCAAACTTGGTTCATACAGAGAAAACCAGCTTTCCTTTACTGTTGACCATCACCACAGTCAGCCCTCGATGACTCATTTATGCTACAGTGTGTGCCTCTTTTAAAGAAAAAAACACAATTTATGTTTTGAGATGTTAACAATCTCAATAATAATGAGCATGACTTTTTATACTGTTTTGTCATTCATATTCTTGTTTCGTTTTTCTCTGTTTCTCTCTCTCTTTTTTTTAAATTGGACTAGCAGACCTCTAAGATCATTTCCAATTCTAAGTTTCCTTTGATCATAAGGATTTCTTAAAATCCTCATGGTCTTGTTGTCTTTTCCCAGGGACGTATTGATTCTAAACATATTGTAACTGGAGATATTTTTGCAAAGATTATATTCAGGTCCCTTAAGCCATCTAATTGTCCTCATGATTATTCTGGGAGTGGCTTACTTAGGTGCACAGGAGCCATGGCGTGGTGGTCAGGCTCAAGGTGCATTTGGCCTAGTACTTGTCTCGCAACTGAGGTCTCAAGGATTTCCTCTTAGAAAAGCACCCGCTTCTTTCATTTGGTCTTTTTGCCCAGCCCTTTCTGGTCTATGTAGGGTGTAGAATATCTCTCCACATAGAAGCTTGTAATGGCCTTTTAAAATATTCCATTCTCTCACAAAATACAAGATTGTTCAGTGTTGATCACATAACAATGCATTCCCTCAAGCTTTTGACAGAACTGAGTGAAAACAGCTATCTTTTAAGTATATATTTCCACAGTGCCTTCATATAAAGTGTCTCATTTAATCATCATCACAACCACGGCAGGGCTTATGATCATCATTTTGCTGACAAGGAAACAAATTTAAAGAGGTGATGATTATGTCAGGTTCACCTAATTAATATATAGCCACTGTACATTTGCTTTTCCATGACAATATAAAAGGCAGGGTTTTGGAAAAGACTAACAAACAAAACCCACTGGATTTAAATTAGAAGACCTGAAATTTGTCCCAGCATTGGTACTTTCCAATTCATGTCTCAAAAAATGTTCTTCATTAACAATAAAATTAGCCACAAAAGAGTAGCTAACTCATAGTTATTAAGAATTTCAAGTCAATATAGATGTGAAATTTATGTCTGCATTTCAGTGGAAGGAATTTTATCTAATATTACCTTGTGGTACTTAGTCAGTAAGTAGGAAGATGGAGATGGATTAATAAATGAGGACTGTTCTCAAATTTGACTTGAAGGGTTATGCTCAGGTAGTGATAAGGAATGTTATTTATTAAATAGTAACCACTATACTAAAAAGCTTTAACACTAGAAGATGATGATTCCTGTACAGACTTCCTTTTAATCACTAAATATACAAGTAGATAAGAAGAACCTGCTGCATTAATTGTGGGAACTTAATATCGGTGAGATTTGTGAATTTTAACTGAGGCAGTATAGAAAGGTGTTTCTCCAGTGTATTTTCAAGGTATGTGGTTATGTATATGTTGTTTTCTATGAACTTTCTTTGAATCTTGTAGTCATTTTTGTTGTGAAATTCAGAATATAGAACCCTTTGGGCTCTGAGATCCCCAGTTTAAATGTATTGCATAATGTGACCTACATTTTTTAAACCAAGGTTGTGAACTTTTAAATGTTCCTGTATATATTTGGTGACTTGTTTGTCAAATAATTAAAATTGGTAAAAGCATTATGATATATCTCTGAAAATCAGCAACTATAAAGAAAGAAAAAAAATTAACAGATTGTAAAAGAGTGCTTTTTAATATGTGGTAAAATACAAGGCAGTGAAATTTACTTATTTGGACAACACTTCTGCCATGATGCCATGATAATCATGGTTTTTTTGATTATCTGGGTTGCCATTGGACTAACGATGGTACATGTAATTATTTATGTGGTTTAGTCTGTCTTGGCAATTAGTTACCATTTGGTCATCATGGCATATTTTTCTAGATGACTTCAGGTTTCAGAGCTGCTTAAAGAGAAGTGGTATTTTTAATGCTACTTAAAACAGATAATTTTAGATTCTGAAATTTTTAATTTTATGTTAAGACTGAAAAATCTAAAGTGTGGATAGTTACAGAGCATAAAGTACTTCACTAGGAGTTGACTGTGATGCTGTTCTAAAAAATACATTCAGGAAAAGTGTGGTAGCCCCGTGACACAGTACTCTCACAGTAACCGATGAGCACATTTTGAAGGGGCATGCAGCAACACATTGTTTTATCTTTTTTTTTTTTTTCTCTTTCTAATATAAAACTATCCAAGCACATTTGAAAGAAGTATGTGGTTTTTCTGAGGAACTTGGCTTTCAAATTTTTCAAGATTCTGTCTTTGTTAATTGAATGAATGATTTAGTTCCTATCTATGCATCTATATCATTTTATGTATAGTTATCCTTTTCAATTATAAAATATATTACAATCTAGTATAGAGAAATAATACTGGAACATGTCTAATTTAAATACCTCTGAGAATTTTTGCCTAGAGGATGTACGTAGAGATTGAACCTTCTATTTGGTTTTCAGGGCACCATTTGATAGCTTATTTCCTTTTATTTCATACTCATTTCTGAAAATTATGTCATATTGGACCATTTGTGCCTACATAGTAGAAAAATTGATCATTTTCTAGATTCCATATTTCTGAAGGTGAAGCAGAGAAACTTTCCTCAATAGTCTAAGCTACATTTTCTTGAAGTCCACAGTTAACATTTTCAAAATCACAATGTGCTGTATCAGTCATTTGTCACGTGGATGTCAAAGTAGTAACATATGCTGGAATAAGATGAATAATAAATTAGTCTCTGTCAGCAAAGTGGCTAATTGGACATGCTGTTAAATATGCAAATAATGTATTTGGTTTCCCTACTCATTCTTTTTCTTGGGACTAGTCCTAGGTGAGATATAGAGGAGTTGTTGATGATGCTAGTGGATAACGTTTTGTGCCATAACTAAAAGTGGAACACTCCTGATGGGCTTCTGGTAAACATCTTTATACAAAAGTCTTGTGTTAATACACAAGGTATTGATATCTGGATGCCTTTAATTAATGACTGGACTATACAACAACAGTCTATTTGTACTGTTAACATTTTGCCTCAGTAATCTTATTTTTAAATGAAAAATTTGTGTTTTTTTCTTTTTAATAGAATTAATTAAATTTTAATTATTTTTACAAAATGAATTAATTCAACTCTTGGCTTATAGTGAGGAAGTGATTAAAATATTGTGGGATTACTTCACAACCCCAATTCTCCCTCATAAAAGCCTGTGCAGAGAAAGAACTAGAGCACATAAAATGGTAGTAAATGGCCAATTATATCATTTAGTTATTGAACAATCACTCAGTGCTTGTTATATGCCAGGTGCTGTTTTAAACTCTTAACAAAATATTGATTCATTTAATCCTTACAACAACTTTATGAGATAGGTACTTTACTCTCCCATTTTACCCATAAGGATATTGAGGCACAGCAAAATTAAGAAATAGTTAAGTCACTGAAACGGAAGTTGTGGGCCCTGGATTCAAACCCAAGCAGGCCAATTAGAAAGTCCATGCTTTTGGCCAGGTGCGGTGGCTCACGCCTGTAGTCCCAGCACTTTGGGAGGCTGAGGCGAGCAGATCATTTGAGGTCGGGAGTTCGAGACCAGCCTGACCAACATAGAGAAACCCCATCCGTACTAAAAATACAAAATTAGCTGGGCATGGTGGCCTTTGCCTGTAATCCCAGCTACTCAGGAGGGTCAGGCAGAAGAATCGCTTGAACCTGGGAGGCAGAGGTTGCAGTGAGCCGAGATCAAGCCATTGCACACTCCAGCCTGGGCAACAAGAGCTAAACTCCGTCTCAAAAAAAAAAAAAAAAAGAAAAAGAAAAAAGAAAGTCCATGCTTTTAACCTCTACATTATGCTGTCAATAAACATAATTTATTCTGACTGAGCATTTTGTTTCTCCTCTAGCTTTTATTGCCAGTGGTTCATAACAGACCCACAGAGAATGGCTATCTGGATTTACTTTGTCTAATTTCCAACAAGTCATTTCTCTGAAGGTTTAATGCCTTATCTTTATCTTCCAATTAGTTTTTAGGCATTGTGATTCTTAAGTACACAGGGCATCGAGAGGCTTCCTTGTGCTTCGCTTCCTCATCACTTTATTTGTTCTGACTGATTTATTAATCTCAAATGACATCTGTCGGCACACCAAGAGTAAAGGAGTGATTGATTTAAGATGTTTATTAATGTTTATTAACTACTTTCATTCTAGATGGCAAATACTTTCCCTACCAAATTGATAATCTGCTGTGATAATAGACTAATTTGCAAGCGCAGTCATGATTTACAATTAAAAGGGAACAGTGGTGATGAGTCTGATTATATGATTATACTCTCCTGAGATGAAAGGAATCCTGCAAATGGTTAAATAAAATCGTATAATTCTGAAGGCAGGATATAGAGAAAAGACTGACAATTAATAAACTTATTTGAGTATTCTAATTTTAATTATGGTCTCTTAATTATGAAGCCTTGAAGATTTTAAAAATCAAATTGTGTCGTTTCTAGATGCATGGTATTGTAGACTAGATAGAGAATTTAAGCATCTCTACTACTCATTTCTTATGAGTTTTTATATTAGACTATAAGTTGGAGCAACATTCAGAAAGGATGGTAAATTCTTTCTAGTTTGAGTCTCTTAACTACATTGTTCTTAAAGATTCTTTTGTTTCTTCAATTTAACACCAGAATTGTTGTTGTTTATTTACTGGCATTTCACACATTCCACTTAAAATAACATTACAGGAATTCTGGAATTCCCTTGTGACATAAAGGATTACTCTTATAATTCTCATTGCGTCTACTAACTATCTGACCTTGGGCAGTTCCTAAGCCTCTGAGCCTTGGTTTTGCCTGGAGTGAAATAGGGCCTCTGTAGGACTGTTGTGAAGACTTGATATTATGTAAACATCTGGCACAGGAACTGATAAATTGCTGCTGCCCCTCAAGTGACAGATGAACCCCTCTCCAACAGTGGGTCTTTTCTGCTCTGGAAAAAAAAAAAAAACAGAAAGGACTGAGGTTAGATATAAGGTAGACTCCTCTGAGCTTTTTAAAACACATTTCATTCTTATCATTCTAGACTGATTTGGTAGATTCTTTAAGTAAAAGACAAAGGGTTGAAATTGAGATCCTTTCCTGGTGTCTGATTCTTCCAAAAGAGGACAACACGATGTTAACAAGAGGATATTGTGTAGTAACCCAACAATTTGTATCCCCTTTGTCCATGTGGGAGTTAAACCAGGACACCTGCAGCAGAACTGAACTGTCAAGGCTATTGCTGCAGTTTAGTGTTGAATATTTTTTTCCTCGCTCTCTTAGAACATTCCTTTAGAATTTAGATTAAGCCTTTTGAAAATAACGGCAGGGGGTGGTGGGGAGAGGGTAAAGATGACGAGGAAAAACTTAGGAAAATGATTGCACCTTTTTTGCCCAATCAACTCTGAAAATGTCAGCAAACACAAAGCTATCTTTACCTGGCTGGATTACAGTTGCGAGAGATTTCGGTAAGAGAAACAGTGCTTCCTAGCCCAGAATTACTAATGTCACTTCCTTTACTGTGGCCATTTTGATGCGTATACCTTAGCCAAATGCTAAGAATCTAGCATTTAGACAGAACACAAGCATTTCAAAATACCAAGTCAAAGGAAAATGCTCAGCAACTGTAATTTAATTATCAATTTTTAAAACATAACTAGCGAATTTCTTAAAATAAATGAGTGTTTTAATAGGAACTTAACATCCATGTTTAAATGTTTTCATCCTCTTTCTAAAGAGGTTCTTTTGGGGACTGTGTATTAGACAAAATTTCATGCTAGTTTGAAGCAACTTTATTTAAGCTCTATGATCACCTGGGATGATATATATACTTTGGAACTGAATCACTTTACAGAGTGTCCCACCACTTTCTCTCCCGGAGTCTGAAGAAAGCCTTTAAGCTGTGATATCAACAGTCAGGAGTCCTTAGGATCAGAGTAGTTCAGTCAAAGCAAGATGTGGTTAAGACAAGAAGCTGATATGATTAAAGTTATAGTCTGTATCGCCCCTCCTCCAAGGTTAACTTTTAGTGGTATGTAAGTGCCAGCAATAAGTTTAATCTATGAAACCACATAACTTGGATTTTCTTCTAAATATCTTAAAATGAAGGCGATTTTCTAGATAACAGATAATAGTGAAAAGTATCCCTGGAGAAAGCATTGCCTGGCTCCTCTGGAGCCAATATGAATATCGGTCCCACCTCACATATTCATACATTCCCTAGTGTTTTGGAGAATTTTGGAGACCCTTGTGATGGAGTGCCTGCCATTTGGGAAATAGGACCTCCAAAGAACATGACTTAGCAATCTGTGCTAGGGCAGTGTAGGTATTTAGAAATCAGAGATACATTTTCCAGCAAGGGAATCAGTAAAAGCTTCAAGAAAGACATAGGCTTTTAGAGAAGCTCTGAAAGATGGGTATGTGGTAAATAGAGAGAAAGGCAATCTTATTAAGCATGAGCAGAAAACACTACTTTAACTTGTGCTTTTAAAAGAAAACAACAGTGCAATAATTGCTAATTCAATTTTTGTTAGTAATTCCAGACAAATGCAGCTTACTATTGAATGAATGACTTTGTATGTACGTGTGTGTATGTATGTGTGTGTATTTTGCCTAGACGTGAGGCCCGTTAAACAATATCTACATACATATATATATATATATATATTTGGTCCTGGTCTTAAGGAAAGGCAGTAGCAAAGAGACCTAATTCTTAGTTAAGTTGGAAAACACAGTGCTGTGCTCTCTAGACATTGGCTGGGAGTTGCCAGAGAGGAGCATATCCTTGAATGAGGGCCAGACACACACACACAGGCAAAAAGCTCCCAAAGAGCAGGGCAGGGCTCCATCCTTCACTTGTGGATGTCCTAATATCCTCACTGTTAAAAGTCCTGCATCTGCAAAGAGAATGGTGAAGGCAAGACTTGCAGGGAGTTGACTTTCTGTTTTTACACAATTTCATTCAGTCAGCCTCCTCATTCACAATATGCAGATATTTAGGTTATTACCAAAATGTGGGTGTTTACACACTCTGCTGGCAAATCAGTGTTTCACTGAGTGCCAAGAATGCAGAGACCAATCAATCAAGTGCTTATCAGGTGCCTTCTGCTTGGAATAGGACATTCTCTCACTCTCTGCCAAAAGACCTCAGGCCTAATAGAGGCCGTCAAATCCATTCTGCTGTCTTTCACACTTAACATGCCTGCCTTGTGTTCTTTCAGACACCTTCGGGAGGACTCGCAGTGTCCTAGAACAGACACAGGAAAGATGGGAACCATCTCTTTTCCATTTTCCAGTTGCTTTTCTGACACACCAGAGGCCCCATTTGTACCATGGCATGGCTGGGTGGGCACACATCCTCCTTCATTACTGATTTCTATAGGAGCCTGATAGATGTCATGCTAATATTGGGGAGATGTTTGGTTCATTTTCATTTTCACATTTGTAGAGATTTCAAGGTTTACACAGTGGCTTCTCTTTTTATTTCATATGAAATCTGCACAAGCCTGTAAATTAAATATGGAAGATTTTTGCCCCATTTTGCAGGTAGGGCAACGTTGCAGCCCGGTCACTTTAATTGGCCTGACTTAGTCGCATGTTTGTAACTGGCAGAGCTGGGACTATAACCCCATAAGCTGGTTTGAAGGCTCCAGGGCTGCTATTGCCACCCACGTAGGGGAGCACAGGCTATTTGTAGACTATCCTCAAAAGATCAAAGAGATGAGTAGATCAAGGAGATCAATGATTCTGCAGGGATTCTGGGAAAGAAACACTGAAAGGGTCCAGTCCATATGGACTTGCTAAGCTAGTAGAAAAAAACAAAATGGATTAGTGGCTCTTTATGGGAAAATAAAATAAAGGTAGAGGTTGTTGGTGTGATGGCCAGTATTATCGATTGACTTTTAATACATTTTGTTAGTGTGATGGTTTAATTTTTTTGTTGCTTATTAGTTTTTGTCTTTTGGAAAAGAAATGAGGATTCCAGTTTGAAGGATGAACTCACTGGCTTTTGATCATTGTTGAAATAACTCAAAAAATATGCATACAACCCAAGAAAACACTCAGGCTGAGCATCTTAGTTTAATGTTGTGATGTTTTTTAGATGAACAGTGACAAGAAGCTACATATAATTAAAATGTCCAATTACTTGCTGGGAATTATTAAAGAGCAATTGGAAAATTGAAATGTTCTGTAAAAAGCTTAATAATTACAGCATCTGATTCTTCACAAGAATGACAAACAAATTTACAAAGAGAGTCTCACTTTGGAAATGCCTTTTGCTTATTATAGTATGAAGAATGATGCCTAGCTGGCAAGATGGTTAACATTTTCCTTGCAGCAGAGATCTCTCCAACTAGGTGAAGGTGAATGCTTTCAGGTATCATTAGTGAGCTTAGGAGGTGATGTTAAGATACATCCAGTCTGTGTTTTTTAAATTAACTTCCTCTGCTTTCAAAACAGAGCTCTAATTTTCCTGGATTAAATTTCCTGAGGACAGAAAGTGTGGTTTTTGTTATATCTCAGTGTGCAAAAGTAAATTTTCATAGATACTCAAATGTTTGTAGAAAGATTTCTAAATAACCTCTTCTACTCACACAGAAGCAATAATATGTTCAGTCTGTTAGTCAGAACTTACTTTAAAGCTAGCTACAGTTAGCATGGTATGATTTTCAAGCTATAATAAATTGCCTGCAACACCTAAATATTCCTTCCATTGCCTGTGATTTCACCATTTACAATTCATTTCTTAGTACCTCGATAGCTTTTATTAAAATTTGCTGTATGTTGAAGAGATGTAATACAAACAGATATAATTAAATTTTAATTCTTAAAATTTAAACTGTATCAGAATCACCTAAGGAGTTTACTGAAACTGCACATGCCTAGGTTGTACCTTTAAAGATTCTATTGAGTAATCTGGGGGTAGGGCTCAAGAATTTGCATTTCTAAATATCCACTTTAAGAGATTATAATGTAGACGGTCCTAGCACAATTGCTTGAGGAACAAGACCTTATGCCATTATCAACTAATATCTTCAACTTACGACTTTTTACCTAAGATCTTTGCAAGCCTCCAGCAGGTACTGTCTAAGGAGCAATTCTTAGCAGTGATGGTTTCTATTCAGAGGATGCAGGAAAATCACTTGAACACAAGGAGAATGGTGTTGGAAGTTACCTAAAACCTGATACCTTCACATTAGTGATCAATTGCTGTTGATATACTGCTAACAAGGATACTAACAAGTGGTTAAATCTATTGCTCTTCTCTTAGAATGAACTGTTATACATAGAGAGTATTCATATAGGAAGTAGACTGCAAGAAGATTCCCTTTAAAGCTTCACAGACATAGTTTTGATGGAATAGAACATCCCTAGATACAGCTACTTCTTTGTTTTTGGTGTGGAGTTATACTTTTGAGGGTTATATGCATGCACACACACAACTTTTAAATCTCACTCTGCATTCTCCTTTTGTCCTTCCATAAAAACACTCTTTGGTCCTCTATTCTCAATATCCTTTGAAAAGATTATTTTAGTCTATAATGCAAACTAAGTTGTTTCTTTGTATTTTTTAAGGTAAAAAATCTCTTAATAGTTAACACTTTTTCCTTTGACCAAGAAAGCTTTGATGCAGCTTTCTTGCATATTATTTCCAGCATATATTTTATCATATCAAATTTTTAAAGTTTTAGATTTTATAATGTCTTTTCCAATTTTAGCCTCCTTTTATGTTTGTGGTTTTTCAACATTAAATCTTTTATGAACTGCCTCTTTCTTGGTCTTGAATCATCTATACTTTTCTTTAAAAAATGACATTATTATTGGGTTATAATTTTGCATTCTTTTTGACTTTGTATGGATGACAAAAACACCCCTAGAATCAGAAACGGAGTATAAAGTGGGATTTTAGCAAGTAACTACTTCCCACCCCTAATATTACAAATGTAGTCTCTGACACACAAGAATATTAAATGTCCAGCTCTAGATTTCTTTCCTAGCACTGTCCTGCTTTTCCTTCAGCTTTATTAATGAGTCGCCCACACGCAGAATAACCTAACCATATCCAAGTGATAACGTTGTGAAGAAGTTTAAATAGGTAATTCCTATGGCAGTAAACAACCTCTGAGAAACTGAACAAGTTTTCCACTTATAGTTGGAAAATATCTTTTTCTTAAGCTACTTTATTCATTAAAATTTTCTTGCACTGAGAGCAGCCATATTTCCTGTGTGCACCATTAAGCTGACAGTTTAAAATGGTTCCTTGCTTAATTTATACTACTGTGGGGATTTTTTTAATGGAGAGAAACTAACTTCTGGGTTGGGGAAGGTTAGGAGTAGGTATTGGGAGGAAGGACATTCTAATGTGAAATCCCTGGGGATGGGAGGTTAAAGCAAAAGGACGTGGCCTTGTTTTAATAGCCCATCATCACTAATGAAAGAAGAAAAAGGAGAGCCTATGTTTTTAAATTCTTTCTGTCGAACTCTTTAAGGCATTTAGAGATCATGGAAATTTTCGATAACATTGGTTATTAGTGATTATAATTATCGCTATAGAAGATTTGGAAAACAGAAGTTTGAGAACGAAAATAGAATATCCAGAATCGTATCTAAAGAAAATCACTATTAAAATTTTGGTATATTCCTTTTAGTAGTTTGCCTTTATGTATTTAATCATTTAAAAAAAAATAGAAGCCTACTGTGCAGACTGTATTGCAACCTTTTTAAAAAAACTAATATGGCATCATACACATCTTTTGTTGATATTAATTTCCTTCTATAATATAAATATTTAGAGATACGTGGCATATCATCTAGACTGCACTTATTTTACCAATCTTTTTGATATTGGACAGATAGATTTTTTTCCATTAAAAATTTTATAAACACTGGCCGGGTGCAGTGGCTCACGCCTGTAATCCCAGCACTTTTGGAGGCCGAGGCGGGTGGGTCACGAGGTCAGGATTTCAAGACCAGCCTGGCCAACATAGTGAAACCCTGTCTCTATTAAAATTAAAAAAATTAGCCGGGCATGGTGGCACATGCCTATATTCCTAGCTACTCGGGAGACTGAGGCTGGAGAATCATTCGAACCTGGGAGGTGGAGGTTGCAGTGAGCCGAGGTTGCTCCACCGCACTGTAGCCTGGGTGACAGAGTGAGACTCCGTCTCGGGGGGGAAAAAAAAAAATATATATATATATATATATATATATATATATATATATATATATATATATATATATACACACACACACACACACACACACACACACACACACACACTACTGTTATATATGATAGTTTAATCTAAATATTTGTATTGTGTACGAAGTGTGGAAATGAGTTAGAAGGTATAGTTATTTTTAGATTTTTAATACTCACTGCCAAACTGAGTTCTCCTCCTCTGTATGTTTCTTTATACTACCTCCTGTACTATCCAGCACAATGGGCCTCCCAGATTGCAATTATTATTTTCAGTCCTTATCATTTTATAAGAAAAAAAAACCCTCATCGTTTTAACTGTTTTACACTGTTTTAACTTCTACTGCGTTTGAACATCTTCACATGTGGATTTGCCAATTGTATTTCACCAAATTATCTGTTCATTACCTTGCATTACCTAGTGATGTGTTCCTTTTATTCACATTGATTTGCAAGAATTCTTTATTGATGTTGTTAGCCCTTTTTAGTATTTTTATATATATTGCTAACATTTTTTTCTCAGTTAATTACATACCTTTTAATTTTGTTTATGGTGCTATTAATGTTTAGGAATGTAATATTTTCCTGTAATCAATCTATTGGTATTTTTCTCTATTGTTAACTTCTTTTCTAGCCTTCTTATCTTCTACCCCTTGGAGATGATTCTGTATGTGGAGGCATTTAATATATTTCCACAGGCAGGGGGTATTGAGCTAGCATCTACTCAGATAACTGTGCTTGAAATAACAAGAGACAAGATGTGTTAGAAGGTTGACCAAGCAGTTCTGGGTCAGGAGTCAAGTGCATGAGGCTCTTACTAGCATAGTGAGGTTTTGGAATTTAGGAGAGGTGACAGAAGTTTATAGCGGTGACGGAATTAGTAGGAAATGAAAAGTTTCCAATTCTTTTTTTGTTTTTGTTTTTGAGATGGAGTCTCACTCTGTTGCCTGGGCTGGAGTTCAGTGACACGATCTCGGCTCACTGCAACCTCTGCCTCCTGGTTTCAAACGATTTTCCTGCCTCGGCCTCCTGAGTAGCTGGGATTACAGGTGCCCACCACTATGCCAGCTATTTTTTTTTGTATTTTTCGTAAAGATGGGTTTCACCCTGTTGGCCAGGCTGGTCTCGAACTCCTGACCTCGTGATTCACCCACTTCGGCCTCCCAAAGTGCTGGGATTATAGGTGTGAGCCACCACACCCAACCGAAGTTTCCAATTCATTCTTGAGAATGCTGCAGCCTGGAGAAGGGAGAGTGAGGGAATTAAATGTTATTAAGTCATTCATCTCTTCTGTTACTAGCCTTGGTGCTGAGGTGTTTACTCATGCTATACAGGGGTGTCCATGCTTTTGGCTTCCCTGGGCCACATTGGAAGAAGAATTGTCTTGGGCCACACATAAAATACACTAGCACTAACAATAACTGATGAACTAAAAAAAAAACAAAAAAAATTACAAAAATATCTCATGTTTTAAGGAAGTTTACGAATGTGTGTTGGGCCACATTCAAAGCCACCCTAGGTCATATGCAGGCTGCAGATTGGACAGGCTTGCTATATGATGTCATTCTTTTCAAGATGCTCTCTGTTGTATTAGTCACATCTTAACTGCTTCATTTCAACAAGCAAAAAATCCTACGAGGAAAATCAGAATACACATATAAAAAATATAAGAAAAAGAAGAAAAATAAGTGGCCATGTAAGAAAAAGAAGTGGCCGGGCACAGTGGCTCACACCTGTAATCCCAGCATTTTGGGAGGCCAAGGCGGGAGATTACTTGAGGTCAGGAGTTCGCGACCAGCCTGGCCAACCTGGTGAAACCCTGTCTCTACTAAAAATACAAAAATTAGCCAGGCAAGGTGGCTCATGCCTGTAATCCCAGCTACTCAGGAGGCTGAAGCAGGAGAATCCCTTGAACGTGGGAGGCAGAGGTTGCAGTGAGCTGAGATTTTTCCACTGCACTTCAGCCCGGGTGAAAGAGCGAGACTCTGTCAAAACAAAAAAAAAGAAAGAAAGGAGGAAAGGAAGGAAGGGAGGGAAGGAGGGAGGGAGGGAGAAGAAAAAAGAAAAAGAAGCATGATGAAGGTTTTCTTTGGTTTTGACTTCTATTTAACAATGAAATATAATTTAAATACAATACAATTGTGCAAGTTTTTAAGTGTATAAGTCAGTGGAATAATTTTAACCTATATATACCCACATGTGTTTACTACCCACATCCATACACAGGGCATTTCTGTAATTCTAGGAAGTGACTCTCAAGCTACGTCTTAGTCACAGTTCTCCTCTGCCCAGCTGCTATTCTGATAACTATCATCATAAGTGATTTTCCCTGTCCTGAAGTTGATATAAATGGGATTGTAAAGAATGTTCTGTTTTGTGTCTGGTTTCTTTGGATCATCATATTTTTGAAATTTATCCATGTTGTATGTATCATTGGTTGGTTATTTTTTATTTCTGAGTCATATTCCATTGTATGCATATACCACGATTTGATTATTTATTCTCATGTGGAAGAACATTTGGTTTGTTTCCAGTTTGGGGCTATTATACCTATAAGCATTTTTAAATGAGTTGGGACACAATAGTCATTTCTATTGAGCATATATTAAAAGTGGAAAGGCTAGGAAACAGGATTTTGTTTAACTTTGTTAGACTTTGTCCCACAGTTTCTCAAGGTGGGTGCATGATTTTAAACTTCCACTGATAATATATGAGAATTACAGTGTTTCTGTTTTTTTGTTTACACTTAGTATTGTCAGTTTAAAAAATTTTAGCCATACCTAAGGTGTGTTCCAAATTTTATTGTTGATGTTCTGCCTAGTTTCAACACAGTAAATTGCACCATAGGTGTGCTCTAGCTGAAGTCCCTTAGCAAAGAACAGCCTAGGAATTACAAAATATACCCTTTAAAGCATTGTTTAGGATAGCATCAACTCTATATAATTATGTACATAGAATATAATTATATACATAGCAAAAGGTAACAAAGCAAGTTAATGGATAGAAACAACTATAAGCAAGTAACACTAAATAGTAGTGTTACTACCAAACTGAAGATAAGGTTGCAGGTGAAAACTTCAAATATATCAAAGTTTCAGGTCCTTGCTCATGACTACCTGCCCCTTTGGTATTTCCATCTTTCTCTTCCATTATATGCCTGAGCCTACAGCTGCCAGCCCGCAATTTTATTTAATAGCTAAGTGTTATCGTAAGAAATTAAAATACTTATGAAAAAGTACTTTCTACTTTTACATGGGCTAAGTCTTTTGCTGTCTTCAGATACAGCAAGTACAAAATAATAATTTCAATAAACAGCTGAGGGATAAAATTATTTCTTAAATTGAAGGAAAATTTATCACTTAAGGTAATTGTTGCTGAAATTGTTTTATAGTTTTAGTTGAAATTGCTTGTTAATAATTCCTGGCATTTATTCAATTCATCTTTCAGCACATGTACATTAATCCATGTGTTAAATATTAATATTGGACTACAAACGTAAAATATTTTTAAAATATGAAAAATCAGCCCATGAAATGAAAAAAACAAAATCGTGTCTTATTTTCTTTGTTTTGATGAAAACTGATAAACACTTTATGAATGCAAGAAGTAAAATGCTTACTTTGAACTTCTTTTTAAAAAATATATTCAAACAACAGATCATACTTAGAAACTTTCTCTGCTAAATATATTTCTACCAGGTTTTTCCTTGTTTTCTTTTGAAATGTTAATCATTTTTTTGTTAGGCTCTACAGATTAGAAACTGTGAAGAAGGAAAAGTAAAGTGCTGACATTTTAGCTTTTTAACATGTTCACAAATGTTATCAGATTAATTTTTAAATAAAGGGTTACAAACATATAAAATATTACTGAAGCAATAGCGTGCATTTTCTAATGTGTGCATTTCTAATTGAAGTGGAACCTCAGAAAACAGTCCTAAAATTAGACAAGGCTATTCTGTTTCTAAATTCCAGGTAATTATTTGAATAATACTGTTAATAATAGTGAAGATAGATAGGTACATTGCTATTAAAATTGGCCATGAGAATAAGACAGTAGACTTGGAGTTAGGAAAATCTGGAATTTGAGTTCCAGCTCTGGTTGGTGGTGTCACTTTGGACACGTTTTCTCATTTGTAAAATGTCAATCATACTAGCTTACCATCTTACGATATTCCAGTGGATATGTAAACTGCTTGTCACTAGAGCAGCAGCAAATTTTAGTCCCCATCCCCCTAAGGGAGGTTAGAAAAACTGTCCTGTAGCTCCGCCATGGGACCTGGTGGGGGGCATGACAAACTTCTCCCTCTATTCATATCTTCCCTTCCAGTGACCACCAATCCATAGGAATGGCTTTATATCAGCACTCATCTTTTCTGGTCTTTTCAGCACAGGGAACAGTCTACATCTTTACTTAGTTAAGATTCATTCTTCCCTTGGCATTTATGTCACTGGACTACATTGTTTTATTGTTGTTTTCATCCATTCTGATTGTTCCATCCTCTTCTTCTTTCTCAGTTTCTTCTTCCTGTTCTTGATGTCAGGGTACAGAAATTTAATGTTAGGTCTTCTCCCCTCTGTCTGTTTTCTCTTCTTGAGTAATTTCATCAACTATCCTCATGTATTTCCCCAGTCCCAAATGTTCTGCTAGATTTTTAAACCCATGGTGGGCTTTTTCCACCTGAAATTCTGGGTAGTGCATCAAAGTCCAAGAATACAACTGAGCACAGCTTCCTCACAACCAGAAACTATTCTTGCAGGGTCAGATTCAGATTTTTCAGGGCTTAAAGCTAATATAATTCAAGGAGTTCCAATTAAGGAAAGAATGCCAAAAGTTAAATAAAAATGACCACAGCCTCTCCAGGGCCATCTGGTGGGAGGTGAGTGTGACTAAGGAAATGTTGGAGGAGTGGAAGGAGAAGCTTAAGCAGGCAAGATAGAAATGACTTACACACTTAGCCGGGCGCGATGGCGGGCGCCTGCAGTCCCAGCTACTCGGGAGGCTGAGGCAGGAGAATGGCGTGAACCCGGGAGGCGGAGCTTGCAATGAGCCGAGATTGCGCCACTGCACTTCAACCTGGCGACAGAGCGAGACTCCGTCTCAAATAAATAAACAAATAAAATAAAATAAAATAAAAGACTTACACACTTTACACATGTATATGGCAAAGTGAACACACTGCTAGGATTCCCCCAACCCAGGGCTCTGATAGAAGTTCCTGCAAGTGAGTGCTTCTGAAGTTTATGATTAATTGTCTTTAAGTATATTGACTCTATCATCTTGGCTTCTTTAGCTTTTAAGTGGCATCTTCATTTATTGGGTCATTAAGGCTCAAAACCTTTCCATTTAATTCATTTTTCTCTCTCTTGCCATGCATTTAATCGGTTGCCTAACTGCTGATTTTGCCTTCTGTGTGTTTCACTCCTAATGCTACCACCTGGTTTAGGTCGCTCTGACCTCTGTGGAGAACATTTCAGTAGCTTTCTCACTAGTCCTTCTGCCTCTAGTCTCCTTCTACTCAAGCATATACCCTGCCTGAAGTTTAGTTTTGCTAAGTATTGCTTTCTTCTCACCCCTACAAAAGTAAGTTCAAATTCCTTAGTCTTACATTCAAAGCCTTCCCGTCCTCGGGCCAGCTTTATATGTTTACGTAGTTTTCCAGCTCTTTCTGTGATTCCCTATCTGCTACCTACCTCAAAATCCTCACTAGTGAACTACTTTGAGTTTCTAGAACATCTCTTGTTTCTGGCGGTTGGTACCCCCCTTTCCTAGAATTGTATGATGAATACTTGTTTGATCCACTTTTGTTAAAATGAAGTAATACTTTGGTCAACTTGTCGTTTCCTATGTTTTCTAGCTTGATTGCTTATGGTATATATTCAGTAAATGTTTGCTTAATGAACAGATACACATAGGCATATTTTGGAAAAGGACTTAGAGGAACCTAGACCAAGTATTAATTTCAAACTCTTCGCATTTTTCTTTACATCAAAAGATTTTCACTGAACCATTTGTAAGGTCAGAGTATTGACTTCACAGTGGTTTAAATAAAATTTGAATCTGCTAAGTTATATATATATATATATATATAGTTTATTTCCCGAAACTTGCGTTGTCAGTCTTCTCATTTTTCATTTGGTTCTCCTCCAAACATTGCAGGGGCCTCTGCATTCTTTCATTCAGAAATATGTATTGAGTGCCTAGAACATGCTAGGCACCATATCTGCTCTTTAGTGGTTCTAGTCTCATAGTGGGAGGCAGACTTTTTGAAAATGAAACACTCTGAAAGCAGTGGTTCTCAAAATGTGGTCCCCAGACTGACAGCATCAGCTTCACCTTAGGATTGTACAGAAATGCAAATTATTTTGTTCCACCCAGACCTCATAAATCAGGAACTCTGACTGTGAGGCTCTGCAATTTGTAGTTTAACCAGCACTCCAGAAGATTCTGCTGTATGTTAAAGTTTTAGAGCTACTATTATAATGTATTACTCAAGGAATGACAGACTCTGAACAACCATATAGGGTACAGTTGACCCCTCAGGGATTTGTTAATTGGGTGGAAGAAAGCTTCCGATAAGTTTTATGAAGGATATGACCTATGAGCTGACTCTTAGAAGAACGTTGTTAAATAGTTTTTTATGCTTACATTCCACTAAATTCTAATATATACTGTCATACAACTAAATCATTTCAACTTTTCAAAATCATAGTTAATAATGAAAAATAATACTAGAATTATTTTACAGTTAGGAGAGAGATCATCATTTTAGAGTAGGTGTTAGAATGTTAGTCGGCTTATTATACAGAATGGCTTACAGAGAAAACACTGGTGTCAAGGAATAGACTGTGTTTAGGACTAATGTCTTTTAATACTTAACTCCATGAAACTTAATTTTTAAATTGTAGCTTTTGAATTTAATTTTTCAAGAATTAATTATTTTCTATATTTGGAATGAATTACTTCAAATATAACTAATGGGAAAATAAAATAACATTGATTTACAAATAAATCTTGGTGAAGGCAAGGAATGAATGCGTATTTAAATTCATATTCTGTCTCTACTCATCCTCATTAGTTAGCCAATCTAGTGATAGATTAGAGAACTTTCATACTTACAGAGTAGCATCATTCTAAAACAGTTATCACCTGAAAAATTCCTTGTCTAAGAAATCATTGTTGTCAATTCCTTGTTTAAAATGTGTTTGCATACTTTTAAAAAGGTATCTTCTAGGGATCAGATATATTACACACATTTTACTGTAATTAATACAGAAGTGAACAGAATGGTTCTTGATGGTCAGATTATTAAATGCAACCAGCTTGCTCATACCCCACAACAGCACTCTTCCAATCACGAAGTATTTGGAGGTTTCTGGGTTTTTGTTGTTGTTGTTTGTTCTCACCTTTATAAATGATTGTTTTGAGGCAACTCCTACGGTTACATAGCTAAGGTGATAAAAAGGAATTGGCCTTCGTGGTCCTTGTGTTAACCTTCTAGTTAGCCCTTGTCTCCAGGAACCTTCTTTGATTGTAACATCTGACCAGGTAGTAGGTGTTTAGTCCCTAGATTTAATCCATTTCAGGCTTGAAGTGCACATGACAGACTGTTTTTTTTTTTTTTTTTTGATGTTGTAATTTTTTACGTCTGTGATCACAGGTAGACCACTTTGCTAATCTAAGCATCAATGATAACTCAGCTAATTCTCATCTACAAAATGGGCAGATAATACATATTACAGTAAATATAAAAATTAAATGAGATAATGTTTCTAGATCATTTAATGTCATATCTGGCATGTAAGTATTTTCATAGATACTAGTTAGCTACTTCTGGTTAATTGTTTTATTATTTTATTATTATTAGAATGGAGTGCAATGTAGAATGGGATATTATACAATATTGTAGAATGGAAGATAGTATTAAATCTAATGAAAAGTGAAGTTAATAACTGCTAATTTTTGTCATTTTCCCCAATTTAAAACAAAACCAAACAAAAAGCACCTTGCCTCTCTCATTTGCTATCTTTTAAAAGGTAGTGAATATTCAATACCTTCCGTTTCTCGAAAAGTACTGCTACTTAGGAAAAAAAAATGTTCATTTTGTAACTTTATGTCTCCCTGATTCTCACTACAAATTTATAAAGCTATGCACTGTTTAAACTCTTTAAAGTTCAAAGGTATACATTATGTTACTGGTCCATAGGATGGAAAAGGTGAATCTTTCTATATCTTAGACACGAACTGCAGTTTATTTCTCCCAGTGAGTGAATATCACTTCACTCCTTGTTCTAATGGGACATACTGCATTCAACAACATAATCCCTGTTAGTTCTATGATTTCTTAGATTTAGGAATACAGACAATGTGTTGGACCAGTGACAGTGTCATACTAGGTATCTCTGGATACTTTATATATCGCTTTGGTGTAGAGTCATGCATTCCAGGATACTTAGTCTGGTTTTTCTGCATACTGTGCTATCTCTCTGAATTATATGTGGTTAGAGACCAAAGAATGCTTTTGTTCCAGTGAGGCTACCTAATGTTAATATCTATATGGTTACTGGCTTTGGGACTTTGGCTGTAGACGGTGATGATTTTCTCTTTGCTTCCTCAGCTTTCCAGTTGTTAATAATCAATCCTGAATGCCTGGATTCTTTCAGGATGGCAAGGACTTAATTTGCCACCACAGATTTTCCTACACAACTTTCAGGCTGCAGTAATTTGGCATGACAGAAGGTGTGTGCTGCCAGCAAATTATCAGAGGATAGAAGAGTACAAACCATTGCTGTTGAATCAGATGGCATTCAATGCACATTCCAATAGTTCAATGAATGAAACAGCCAGACTTCAAAGTGTTTGTGGTACTTCTCTTCATATTCTCATCAGAGCAGCTACTGGCATCAGCCCCCTCCATACCTCACGGTCATAGCCCCTACTTATCTTCACATGCTTGAGCTGAATTTCATATTCGATTTCCAATGCCAGAAATACCCTCCTCCTTCCCCTCTGTGTTTTTAGCTCCTGTCCATTCATCAATTCCCTAAATCCTAGCTCTCTTTCTAGTTCCTCTTGGAAGCCTTTATGACTCCTGCTCACATTGGTATTTGTCTGTGCTTTGAACTTCTGTGTCACTTAATGCCATTGCCAAATCGTTTGGCACTGTATTATATTAACATATAGAAATGAAAACATTTTCATTTTAATTCTCTTTAAATGTATACATTCTCTTCTAAGTATAACATTTTTATAGTAAGATACTATGCTTATTTTTTATTTCTTAATCAAACAAACCCATTCCTACTCCCAGACTAACCTGATGCTAATCATATACTATATATATATATATATATATATATATATATATATATATATATATGATTGAGGTATAAGAATAAATGAATACCTTTTTAAAAAATTGATTATTTATCTGATAAAATAAGAAAAAATAGCTTTAAATATTATCATTCAAGACCCTTCTCATTAGAATTGTTAGGCACTTGAATTGATGATGTTAGAAGGCTGTGGAAACTTTTTGCTTCTCAGTCATTGTTAGTGTTTGGAATGGTCCAGGTTACAGGAGAAGCTCACTGATGAGGAGTGAGGGTGGGCATAGTTAGGGAAATGTTAGGTTTCGATAACACTGTCCTTTACCTGTGTACCTCTTGTTGCTATAGTGCTTTACCCTCTGGGTAAAAAAGGAGCCATGTCTTGCCAAAGTGAGCATGTCCTATTTCTAATAAGACTGAAACTTGAGTTAGAACTGGAGGAGGCAAGAATAGAGAGGACGATTGCATAGTGAAGTTGGAGCTTAAGGGACAAAGGAATATGAGAGGAGGTTAGTGCTTGAAGCCAAAGATTTCAATAGAGCAGAAAACAGCTTCTTTGACAGGATGCAAGCTCGCGTAGGGGTCTTTGTTGCATTATTTGAGGTGCTACGGTGCCACTGTCTGCCACTGTCTGCCACTGTCTGCCACTGTCTTCTTTCCAAAGAGTCCTGATAGTTTTCTCCACACAGGTGCTTCCATGAGAGCTAATGAATGCCTGGAATCTAGGCAAATTACACAATTAATTTTATAAATTAGTGCTATTAATTGAGTAATTTTCTCAGAAATTAGTTCAGAAAGGAAAAAAGTGAGTAACAGAGAGGAGGGCACCTTCCTTTTCGATGAAAACAAATAATTTTGCTGCAGGTCAGTCAAGTTAGTCAGGTGTCTTTTTCTCATGTTAACAGCATTCAGACATTTTGGAGATAAAGGAGCTTGTGATCAGTATATTTCAAGGCAATGGCTATACAAATGACTGTGAGTATCAGCCAGTGTAACTTTATGCTACGTTTTATGAAGCATAGTATTTCTAACTTTATTTGTTTTCATTTTGCATAATGCAACTACAATATATAATTAATGTGAGGGAATGCTATAAAAATGAAGTACAAACTAAAATAATTAAACAAACAAACATTTTCAACTTTCAGTCAGAATAACTAGAGTCATTATTATTCCACTGACACTATGCAAATATATGACTCAGAAAAGAACCCCCATTTAAACTCCAGTTTTGCCATGTTTCTTTAAATGTGATTTTTTAATAAAAATCCCAAATTTTAAACATTTAGTTTAAAAGAAAAGCTTTTCTTCTTAATTTAAACTTATTATGTTTATTAAACTGCAATTAACAATATTAAATATTTCTTTATTGTGATAATAATTTACCTTTAAAACTTATATAATTCATGTGTGTCTACTAAAATGTAATTAAAAATTGAAAAACTTTGTGGCCAGCACATGACATAAATACAGCAGTACCTATCTGAAGCACTGTGTATGCCCCTCTTATTTATCCTGAGATAGCTAGCTACCTTCTGAATTTTGTGTTTATAATCTTCTTACTTTTTAAAATAGTTTTATCATATATGCATGTATCAGTAAATGATATACTGTTTACTTTTGCCTGTTTTTGAATTTTATATAAATGGAATAATAGTAGTTTTATTCCTTCATTTTTGTCTGTCAAACTTGTTTGGGGTTTATTATAGCATTTAATTTAATCATTCTTACCACTGTGTATCATTCTACTGAGTGAAAAAAAATCACAATATTGTAACCCACTCTATGCTCATGGATATTTGGGTGGTTTTGAGTGTTTGCTCTTACAAACAGTGCTCCTTGAACCCTGTTTCATGTGACTCTGGATCATGCACAAGAATTTCTCTAGGGCATAGACTCAGGAGCAGTATTGTTGCAGTACATATAATGCATACAGGATGCACATGTAACGTTCCTAGTAAAATTACTTACCATTCACCTGCTGTCCACTGGGGGATGATGACTTCCTATTGCTCTGTGTTCTCATCTAAACTTTTAAATTTTTTGCCAGTGCGGTGATTGTACAATGGTATTTCATTGTGATTTAATTTGAATTCTCCTGATTACTAATGATGTTGTACATGTCTTCATATGTTTCTGGGTTATTTGTGTTTCCCCTTCTGTGAAATATCTGTTCACATTTTTAGTCCATTTTTTTCCTATTAGATTATTTATCATTTCTTTATTGATGCTTAGAATTCATTATATTTTGTTATGTTTATTCTTCTAGTATGTGACTGGAATTTTCAGTCTTTTTATGGTATATTTTGGTGAATGGAGTTCTAAAATTTGATATAGTTAAATTATCAGTATTTCCCTTTATAGTTTGTATTTTAATATCCTGTTTAAGATATACTTTTCTACCTCTACCTTGAAATCATTAAATATAAAACATGAATAGCTGAGGTTACAACATCTAATGTTAACTAATATTTTCCTCTCAGACAATAAAAGGACCTTTGAATGTTTCAATTCCTTTCATGATCTTTTTGGAATGACATGTTGTTGGTGGCTTTGACTTTTGTTGTATGAACTCTATAAATTAAACACTGTTAATATTTTTACAAAGTAAGGCTTTCTTTAGATTTACTGAGATGTTTGCCATGGTTTTACTTTTCTTCTTTCATCTTAGACGTTTTTTTCTGTGATTATTTTCCTTTGTTTTATATACATTATTTAGATGTTTCATTCGTGAAGGTCTTTTGTTAGTACATTCTTTCATTTTTTAATTGTTTGAAATAGCTTTATTTTAACCTCATTTTGAATTTTTTTTTCCACTGGGTATAGCAATTGTAATAGAACAGCTGTTGTCTCTTATATTTTGGAGATATTATCCCATTGCCCTCTAGCTTCCATTGTAAGTGTTGAAAAGTTAGTTGTAAATCTAGTTATCATTTATTTCTAACTACTGTTTCATTCTTCCTGACTGTTTTAAAGATCTCTTTCCTTGCATTTTCAATTATTTCTTGCTCATGTGTCTGTCTGTCTTGGTAAGGGTTTCTTTTTATTATTCTTGCTTTGGATTCACTGGGCTTCCTGATATTAGGATTTGTCTAATTAATCAATTATGTAGAATTGTGAGTCTTTTGTCCATTCTCTTTCCCCTCTCCTTCTGGAACAGTGATTACATGTATTTTGGTCTTTTGATTATCTCCTCCATGTCTAGTAACATGTCTTTCATAGTTATTTGTCATTTTTAAACGCAGAGCAGAAAATATTTCTCTGAACATTCAGTACATGATATTGGCAGCAAATATAACTCCAAAATACTCTTTAATAATGTCCTCGTGGATCCCAAAAACAGTTATTATTTTTTCTTTTGGTATTTTCGAATTGTAATTTTGAGGAAAATTGATAATTGAGGTTGGACGACATAAAAAAGTTACCTAAAAGAAATCTCATAGTAGATACTGTACTCCACAGTAACTGCTTTCAGTTCACCTTAGGTTTTCTGATTGATATTTTGACATTTTTTTACCCTATTTTATTAAATTTTAGTACCACCATCCCCTCCTAAAGAAGGAAGACATATTTTCGGCAAATTTGTATTTCTCATTAAATCAAAAGTGACCTTTATAGCAGAACATGTGTTTGTTACTTATTAATCTTACTACCTTACTATCTCCAGCAGATTTATACTTAACTGTACCAATAGAATCATAACCTTTAAGAGTGGGTTTCATATTTTATTACATGACATCAGTTATAAAATCTGCTTTGTTGATTCCCTTGTTATGTAAAAATATTATCCTAAGGAGATTCTCACAGATTGCTTAATCCAATTTAATGTGATTCTTATTGTGCAAATGGCTATACTGGTTGCATGTGGCAAGATCTTCCGTTGCTTGACTTCCACATTCCTATTTATTTTCATTGTTGTTTGATGTTTGAGCTACCCTATTAAATGTTTGAAATTATCATTTCAAGATCCACTGCATTTTCCAGGCATCTTAACTATTCCCAATACAAGTCACCAGGTAGAGTCCTCAGTGGAGGGAGAGGTGATAGACATAAGGTTTCAGTTGGAATGGAAATGTCTTAATACTTCCCCAGACTTCCACTGCTCATTTTTATCTTTACCCCAGTTCACCAAATCCTCTTCCCCCAACATTTCTACTGAGTGTGGAAAACAGATGACATCCAGATATTATAGCCTCCAAGCTTCTAACTAAGATAAGAGCTCAAAGTCATGGGAAGATACCCTAGAAGAAGGCTCTGTTTCTCCATACTGTAATCATTTTCTCCTTTCTTAAGCATTATCAGGCATACTACCAACTCCTTCATCTCATGCCGTTTACTGCTTTCCCAGTTCAATGTGAATCCTTTTCCTTGATCTCTGGCCCTGAATCCTCCTGATTGAATTCCCGAAATTCTTTAAACTTTATTCTTCTGTCTTACCATTTGTCTCTAAGGATGGAAACTGTCACCAGTAATTTTCAGAAGAGGAGAGCTATTCTTGTGCTTCCACAATTGACCTCTGAATACAACTTCAAAAGAAGCATTACTATGGTGGTTAATTTGCATAGTCTTCTTGATGTTATTTTTTGATAATGTGCCTTTTAATAAGCTGGCCCATATAGGCTAGCCTAGGAATCTGAGGACAATTTATAACATTAATTCTATGAGAAACTTAATACAGAGAATGGAACAATGAGCTTACAAGTAGATGCTTGGAGCATAGCCCATTTGTGAGATGGGCACTGACTGTACAGGAGACAATTTGGATCACCGTGTGGGCTGGGAGAGAAGTGCCTTCTGTTAACCAGCAATGCCACAGATTTGAATATTGCACATTTGTTTTGTGTAATCTTCCATGTAACTGTGAGCAAAGAGCATGATTGAAGTGCTGCTGATTATGTGTAATGCTTATAGATTCCATTTTAGTAGAGCAGACTGCTATGTTCCATCCTTCTATCTTAATTCTAAATATGGTTTCCATTGTCTCCCTTCTTTAGTCACCCAGAAGCATAGCAGGGAAGTAATTTTACCTTGCAGTTCAGTAACTTTTAATTGCCTGTTCAGTTTCGCTTGATTCTGAGAAAAACGGAGCTGCTGCCTGTGCAGTTTTAGTTGCCAGAACCTCAATTGTTAAGCACTTAAATACTAAAACAGGGGGAAAAAAAAGCTCACATATTCTTCAGAGAGATAAAGCAGAAAAGAGATTCTACTGTGTTTATTGTGGTCGTTATGGCTTTTAAAAAAAGAACCCAAGCATTACCTAGAAGAATATACACCGAACTGGTTATCTGTGAGTGGTAGAATTAACAGAAATATACATTTTCCTATCTATATTTTTTCTAAGAAAAAATAATCAGAATAATTTTATAACCAGAAAAAAAAATCCAAAGCTGGGTAAGTTGGGAAAAGATGTTGAGATCACCTGCCTTTAACACCCTCATTTTAAAAGTGAGAAAAATAAGGCTCAGAAGGGTTGAAAAATTGCTCCAAACACCCCAAGGCTCAGGCCACAATAGAAGTGAACATCATTATAAATACTGGTTAGTTTTCTCTGATCTTCGGCATTACTCTTCATGATTCTTATGGAGAGTATACAGTCCTAAGAACCTTTTATTCTTACTCTCTTAAATTTACAAAAAATATATTCTTTTTTTTCATTTGCACTTCAATGCTACTAAACCACTCTTAATGTGGTTTAGTGGCATTAAAAAAATAATGACATTTTAGAAATGGCATTTACCAAACAATGGCATTTAAAAAATAAACTCAGAAAATCATTGATGTCAATGCACCCATAATTATATGGAATGATTTTTTTTTCTCTGAGGGATTAGAGCTCTTCTGGCCTTTTGAGTGATGAAAGATGAGAAGGAAACTCTTTGTTTTAATTGTGGTGAGTTGCTTCTGATTTGAGCTGAGGAGGAAAGGGAAAGGCCGGATGGAGTGTTTTCTAGAGATTTTAGAGAGAGGTGTTTTGTTTGTTTCATGTTGTTTTTGTTTTTTAAAGTGGCAGGACTCTCTTCATTTTTCCCCCTCTGAAAGAAATCATACAGAGTCCACATGGGAAACAGATCAAAGTGAAGCTTGTCTTTTTGAAGCAGGAAAGATGTCTGCAGAAACTAGCATTTCTTAGCATTCCTCAGTATTTATGTGAGAGGAGGACTAGCGTCTACCATCAAAGATTAAGATCTTCCATTATTAAGATTAAGACTGCCTTACAACCAGAATCTACCTATTCTGAAGCTCTCATCTTCAGCATAGAAAAACCATTTCTTTTTCTCTTTGAGGTTCCCAGATACTCGAGTGAATGAGCAATTGTGTGTAAATTATTTTTTTCAATAATTATATTGATTAAACTACATTATGTGCTGTCAGACTAACAAATTCCTTGTATACTGTGCTTATATGCTAATATATTTACAGCAGAGCTCCCCATGACAGCTGCAGGCAAAGTCCCTGTGCCCAGATTCTGTCTGCCGAGTGGAAAGTTAACAAGTAAAATCATGAAAACACGAGACATTTGTCTCCAGTGTCCTTAGCTGCCTTTCTTCATACTTTTTCTTCCCTAAAGACACTAAATATCCTAGCAATCCTGATGTCTTCCAAAAAAGGATCTGATTCCCATCATTTATGCTTTTGTTTAATGGGTCTGGCTACTCTTGGACTGAGATGCTGTTGGTGACCTCAGAGAAGTAGCGGTATGGTGTTCTTGTCAGCTTTCTGCTTAAGTCTTCGGTTCCTGTTATACCTGCCCAGATTCCTTGGCTTACAGCCTCCCCAGCACCACATGTCTACGGGGTCTAATGCTTGCTAGCACCCATAGAACAGATTATCAGGTAAATGACTTCAGGGCTCACAGCTTTCATGGCAGGGAGACTGCTTGAAGTGCATTTGGCTTGGCTTTCCTCACATTTCTGTGGTTCCTGATTGTCAAAATACTCAAGAGCATCATAAATGCATAAATAAACTAAATAAACACTCATCCTAGGCACTCAGAGGAGCAATATTAGTGTCAGTGAAGAATCAAATCATAATAGTATAATCGTGAGAGCTTAGGGTGGGAACTAGGGAAGTAAGAGTGAGCAGAATATAAGGCAAAAAGAATGAGACTGTAGTTATTCACCATCCTTGATTAATAGATACTGATGAGATAATTCTAGACATATTAGAATATGTACTATAGTTTTGGAGCTCTATTCAAAGTCGACTTCATCAGAAAAAAATTCCTGACCTAAATCTTCCCATAGAAATATCACTCTCTTCTTGATTTATTTTTTGTAGCATTTACCCATATATAATGTTGTTATATACTTTAACTTATTTCTTGATATATATTATTAGTGTCTACAGCCATCTATGTTCCATTCTCTCTTTCTAAGGAAGTGACTCCCAAGAAAGCCCCAAGAACTCCATCAGAATTCTGTGGCATGCCCTAACAAGTTGCTTATGTAGTGCTCAAGCACTGCCTGCCTCTATCAAAACTTAAAATTATATGATCAGGAAATGGAGGGTGGTTTAATTTTACCATTGTTTGTTTTTGTTTATTTTTAGCTGGTGATAAATGAAGTAGCTGAAATTGCAACATATGTATTTGGCTTACCTATGACACAAATCTGATAGAAGCATTTTCTAGTGACTAGATGAGAGGATGTGACAAAAAATCAGATGGACTGTCTGAGATCCCCTACTTCCAAAACATACCTCAGGTTTAACATGTGTGTAGGATGAGAGCCTGGAGAGAGAGAGGTTGGAAGTACACTTAATAGAATAAGCTGAATTGTCAGAGGGGAAAATAAAAATGCGTTGAAAATGTAAAAGCACTGTCAAAACTAGCTATATTGAAATTTAGATCATGGTTCTATGAACATGTGTAAAAACTGCAAAGTTTCCCAAGATTAAAAGAAAAAAAAAAACCCACAAAGAACAGCCATCTCATAGACACACCACCGTCATGCCCACATCAAGTGCCTGCAAAATTGTTTTCTTTTTTTAACCCCTGCATACTATGACTGTCCTCCAACTCTGCATATCTTTGTTCAACTTCCAATAGCATAATTCTTCATTAAAAGTAAAAAACTAAGATCCTGAATCTATGCATATCCAGGTTCCTCCTGTGAGGTAGAAATAGGGGAGAAATCTCATAATTTGGTTGGACTGGTAAAGGGTAAATCTATTAGGAGTCTTTCTCAGGAGAAGAAATGCCAAGTAAATTAAATTACATTAATAAATCCATTGTGTCAAATTTACAGATTAGTGAATAAATACAGTGGTTAACACTAACAATCAAAAATTTTTACATCAGCATATATTACTCAAAGCCAGGAGGGACACTAACTATATTCTGTTATTTTTGCCATTCATTCCCCAGTGTCTACCATAGCTTTTCATGATTAAACCATTTTGACTTAATTCCTCAATATGACACTATTCCTCCAATTGTGTAGGTATTTATTATTTATACTAACATTTATTTAGGTTTACAGACATTTCATTATATATTTAGGATACTCCTGAATGTTGTGACAGTTAGGAACCACAGATAGTTTGAAAGCTAAGCTAAATATCCCTGCAAACAGTCTCCCTACCCTGGAATTCAAATAAGTGAAATAAGTCAAATACTTTTTATATAAAGTGATTCTTTATTGACTATTATAATTTGAGACGTGAAGATCAGTGGCTGCATATTATGAAAAGGTCATCATGAGATAGCAATGAAGATAATTCTAGGGTCCTTTTGAGCTTATGATTTCCACAAGACAATGTATTATACATTCCACCTACCTCTGTGGCTGTGAGGGGAGTACACAAGTTGCTGTCTAGAATTCATCTATCCAGGTTCGGATTATCAGTGCATGGTTTCTTCATTCTTGAGCTCCTGGGGATTTAGAAACCTTAGATAACTAAAACTTGTACTCCATAAATACACTCCTATTTGTCAGCAGTGCATATCTTTAAATATTCAAATCATCATTCTTAGCTTATAAATAGAGACTCTCCAAAATTACCTGTTGGAAATTCATTATCTAGGAAGATATGATTTTCTATGATGCATGCTTTTCTGTGATATTTTGTTAAATTGAAAAGTATGAAACTTCATTGTGATTTGATTAAGCAACCTTTGAAATTAGTTTTGTTTTAAAGAGAAGACGAGGTACCCTTGACAACATGATCCTTTTGTAAGCATGTATTATATAAAACCCTATCTAATAGAAGAATAGATAGCATTACTCTTCTTAGCTTATTTCTCCCACATTAAAATAAAAAAGGCTACTTTGTGTGTATATGTACATACTTATCTAAAGTTTTAATAGTCATGCGGCCTTTGCCATTATCTAGGGAAAAAATGGAATTTATGTTATACAAATTATAGGATATTGCATTTGTTTTCTTCAAATATTTTAATTTGAAAATTATTAAGAAACATAATAATGAAAAAGATCATCCATTATTCTACCACATGGTAATTATAAATGCAGTCTTATAAGGTAAGATGTGATGCTTTCTGTCTGCTGTGTTAATCTCGTCTTCACGAATATTTTCTCCTCTGTTGAATCAGTATATATATGATATAAACATATCTAATTATGCATCAGTATAAGCATATACCTAGACATATTTTAAGAAATGGGACCATGACATCCATAATGTAGTTTATAGACTAAATGTTCTCCAATAACAGTAGAAGTATCAGATTGATTAATATTTGTTACAGATTTGATTTTTGAAGTAATAATAATGTTTAAATTGATTTATTATTCTTTAATAAGAGTCATTTGAGGCCAAAATATGCTATATTCTTATACACTTGCCTGAGGAGGACTCTATTTGAGCAGTTTGGAATCAAAATAGAAACAAAATATCACTTCACAAAGTAGGGGATGCAGTAATCAAATTGAGCAGCCCTGGGCACAAAGGATCATTGCTTTTTTCAAAGCCTCGTTCTGAATGAAATATATTGAATTGTAGTTAGTTATTTCTGCTCCTTTTACAGTATTGCAACTTTGGTTTTCTATGAATATGTGCTGAGAGTTAGAGGACCTAGGATTTCCTGTTACCCATTTTAAGGGGAATGGTTCCAAGTGGTCAGTTAACTTATCCAAGAAATGAAAGAAGTGAGCAATAACAATTTTGATCAAAATAATCTATGAGCAGTGTAAGCTGCCTGAAATGTTGCCTTGGTATATCCCAACACAAACAAGAGCAAGATACTCTCTCTTTCCTTTTCTAATGCATTTCTTCTCTGCTTCTGAGACTCCAGGATGAAGCCAGAGGCATGTCGTTTTAGAATTTGCTGTCTATTAGTGCACATATACCATCTGGAACTGAAAACATAGCAAGCTTTCTTTTATTTAGAAGCAATCCTCAGGCCTCTAGCCTTGGAAGGAGGGTCCATTCCAAGAAGCTGACATGTTATGAGGTCCATTTTAATCATGAGTCTATTTGCAGGAACCTCTTTGGAAGAAGAAAGATTGTGAACATTTTTTTTAGTTTCTCTGCTTCCGCTAGGCTCTCAGGACATCTCTGTAGTGTGATCTTGAAGGGGACTTAGGAGGAGGCTAATTTGAGTAAGTGCAATTAATAATTATTTCCTAGGAGGCAGCTGGCAAGGGTCCCATAGTGGCATCAGAGAGAACAAGAAAATTAGTCTAGACGATATAGGCTGGAAGCATGTCGCCTCTCTTCCTTTTCTGGGTGATAAACTGGCCTGATTTTATGCATAACTAAAAGAGTTTCCATCATGGGGACTGCCATAGAAAACCAGGACAGAATTTTACACATGTGAAGAACTTGTCACAGGTTGGGATTTATGACATACAGGGGAAAAGTCTCTTTTATTTTCCTCACAAACGGCATTAGGGTTACATTCTGAATTAGTTTTCAGACATACTGAAGGGACCTAAGAGGTCATTTTGTCAAAACTCTCATATCCCAAATAAAGGAGACCAAGGCCTTCACAATTAATTAGTGTCAGAGATACCAATGGAAGCCAGAACTCCTGATTTTTCATCAAGTTAGAGGAAAAACTGTGTCCTAGTAAAAACTCTATAGTTTTGAAGACATTGATGTTTGTGTATTTTTCAATTTGGAATCATAAGAATATCTTGTTTTACATTCTGCCCTTTTGAGTTTCAAATGATAACTGAGGCCGGGCTAACCAACCCATCTGCATAAAAAGTAAAATGAAATGCATCAAATAACAAATCTATAAATGGGAAAGAACCTTGGATCAAATACTCAGCTGTAAAGTATTAAGAAAATACTTGTCTTTGCATTCAGTGATTTTCTTGAGAGATCCCTTTATGTTAGGTCCTAAATTTGTAGCTAATATTTACTGGGCAGCTCCTGCGTGTCTGACCTCATTAAGTGCTTTACAAACATGTCTCGTTTAACCCTTACAAAACCTTAACGATTATCAACCTATCCCCATTTTTTAGCTGAGGAACACAAGACTAGGATAAATTAACCCATTTAAAGGTCACATCGTTGGATGAGTGGTGGGCTCAGATCATTAACCCAAATCTGTCTGACTCCCTGTCTACCATGCTCTTTAGCATCATGTATGATGCCTGTCAATGAAAATGAATGTCTGGAAAGCGTAACACTAAGTGAAATAAGCCGGACGCAGAAAGAAAAATATTGCATGGTCTCACTTACATGTGGAATCTAAAAATGTTTAATACACTGATTGTAGTAGTAGCTCAAGCCTGTACTCCTGAAGACTTGGGAGGCTGAGGTGGAAGGATCCCTTGATGCCAGGCGTTAGACAGCTGCCTGGGCAACATAGCAAGACTCCCATCTCAAAAAACTGGAAAAAAATAAAAAATTAAAAAAAAATAAAAACTTACGTGGAAGTTGCGGCATGTGCCTGTAGTCCTAGTTGCTTGGGAGGCTGAGGCAGGAAGACTGCCTGAGCCCAGAAATTCAAGGCAGCAGTAAGCAAGGAGCACCACTGCACTCCAGCCTGGGCAAAAGAGTAACACTCTGACTCTAAAAACGTAAAAAATAAAAAATAATTTAAAAAATTGAATATATAGAAACAGTAGAAAGGTAGTTAGCAGGGTCAGGGAGGTGGGGGGAGATGGAGAGATATTAGTAAAAGTATACACAATTGACGTTTTTCAGGATAAGTCTAGTGATCTAATGTACAGCTTGATTATTAAAGTTAATGATATTATATTGTACACTGAAAACTGCTAAGACAGTAGTCAGGAGACAAGTTCTCTCCCTACCAACAACAACAACAAAAAAAGGTAACCGTAACTGGTAACTGTGACTGTGACTAGATGGTTATGTTAATTTGCTTGACTGCAGTAAATATTTCATTACATATGTCAAAACATCATGTTGTACACATTAAATACGTACAATTTTTAAAAGTTGAATGTCAGCTTAAATACAGTGCTCATAAAACTCCATAAATGAAATTATTTCTTCTTGGTTTTCAAAGTAGTTTTATCATTGATTACCTGGAACCTGTCATTTCTGTTTCTTTTTTTCTAGTGTTCATACAACTATTCCAGAGCTTTGGGTATAAATCCACGGAAAAGATAAAGGGAACCTCTGAAATTCATGAGTCATTTCAATGGATCATGGTTTAAATAAAGTCATTATGGAGGCAGTTGAGAGTAAGTCAGGAGTCATGAAAATAGTCACTTGATGGTGTTTTTACATAGACAAGGCTTCAGTGTATTCGACCTGATCACTAATTATTAATATAAGGAAAAATAAAATTGTTTAGAGTCTAAACAGGGCTTGAGAAACATCTCAGATTTTTATGAATATCAGAATAAGCAATTAAATCCATTACCATTTCATTTGCAACCTTTCTGCATTCTACTCAGATGACCAAGAGTAATGCCATTTACAGCCTGTCATCAAATGGAGCCTTCCCACTTAGTGACTAATTAAATTGCTTTTCAGGCTTTAGAGATATTCAGAATCAGAGCCTCCCCCTACAAAAAGTTAAGCTCCTTCTTGATCCTTCCTAATTTGACATGTCTCTAAGCTTTCAAAATATATAATAAGGATAAATCATAAACTAAATAAAAGGAAGAGGCCGGGTGCAGTGGCTCACACCTGTGATCCCAGCACTTTGGGAGGCTGAGGTGGGTGAATCACGAGGTCAGGAGTTCGAGACCAGCCTGGCCAAAATGTAAAACTCCGTCTCTACTAAAAATACAAAAATTAGCTGGGCGTGGTGGTGCACACCTGTAGTCCCAGATGCTCAGGAGGCTGAGGCAGGAGAATTGCTTGAACCCGGGAGGCAGAGGTTGCAGTAAGCCAAGATCACGCCACTGCACTCCAGCCTGGGCAACAGAGCAAGACTCCATCTCAGAAAAAAACAAAACAAAACTCACAAAAAAATGCTCATATTAGGGCAGACAGTTCCTCATTTTTAATGCATATATTGTTTAATATATGACATGCATATTGTTAGTATCATACAGGAAACTGAAGAACTATTTATAAAATAGGAAAATACATACAACAAAAACAAAAAGCCACCTTAGCCCTTACTCCTTTCTTCAGTTTAGAACTCCATCTAAGCCAACACTCTGGAATTTTGATTACACTCAAAAATGTCAGTATTAAAAGTTAGAAACAAAGTCTGTTTCCATTTTAGCTGAAGTGTAGGAGGAGGGGCACAAGGGTGCATCAAATGTGAATCTGAGCTAATATAATCAGTGACTTGATTTATATAAAAAAATGTAAATGTTTCTTTGAAAGGGGAAAGTACTTACTGAGAAATCTGCATTGACAGAACAAATCCTACTTGCAAAGTAGAAACCAATGTTGTTGACCTGAGTAGAGCTCAAGTCAGCTGTGAAATTCATAATCTTTTATCTATAAAATAGCTTCTCCTCTGAATGACAAAATTATTTTTGAACTGAGTGTTTGCTAAGTTAAAGACAAAAGGCTCAGTGTGTACACCTGAGCACTACTTTCAGGCTGGATTTTAAAGGAATAGTTGTTTTCTTAGGGGTCTCAGGTACTGCCGTTGTGAATTAATCAGTGTAAATATTGCTTTAATAAGTCATCTATTTTATTAGTAAAAGACCAATACCATAGTGACTTAAAAAGAAGTCCCAGACTACTCAATGAATTCACTGACATTTGTTTCTTATTTTGTACCAAGTAATTTTTTAGGGTGTCCCATTTTCAGTTACTTAACTCCCCAATAGATTAATCTAGTTTTTCACTGATTAATGTAATTATCTTGTAAGATAGAGGTCTAAAGGCTTCTTTATGTTTGGTGTTAGGTTTGATTTCCAAAGCACCTGTCATTCTTTAATAATCACACAAGGTCTAGGTTGTCAGTGCTTTTCACTTGTCTCATTTTAATTAACAAAACCAGGAGGCAACAGGTGGGGGCCAATTCAGCCAAGAAAAAATAAGGTAGGGCTAAATTGATCATGAAAGAAGGAAAATGTTATTTTCTGAAAGTCTGTTCTCACATGGAAGGACGGAGAATTGGCAGGGAAAAGAAGGGATAGCTTTTTACCTTCTTTATAACTCCCAAGGGCAGGAACATTGGGAATACCAATTTAGAGCAGACTCTGTCTTGTGTTTCTTACAGAAAAGCAATTTGAATTTTTGGAAGTGTGGACTTTGATAATATTAATGAGAATATCAAGCCACAAATAGACTTTCTCATAAAATTGTGATCTATGCTTATTAGCAATCAACTTGTCATTTGTCATCAGCTAATCTAGGACCAAAGGAGATTTGGGGCATTGGATATTTAGTATTAATTGTTAATGACTCAAGTTAAGATTTAAAGTATTTTGAATCCATTGGCCTGAAATTGTGACTTAAATCTTAAATTTAACAAATAAAATTTTTCTTGTTTCTGGTATGTGTTTACTGAATTTTTAAATTTTAAATCTAGTTATTGGATCATCATTGGAATTACAAGACTATATTAAAAACATGTTTACAAAATTAAATGGCTATTTGATTTTTAGGACCCTGGATATTTAACAAACATTTGTACATCAAGTTTTAAAAGATTTGCCAATCACATCTACTTTATCTTCTTGGTTAAACCTTACGGGGATAATATTATATAAATAAAAGTTGAAAGCTCTGTAACTCGTTTCTGTTTCTGAAAAGGAATCAGCCCTTGAGTCTGTAAAATCATTTTTTAAAAGTCTTCACTTGTTTTGCCTGCTGGTAATGTGGATACAATTTAATTTTACCAAGTTAATAAACTAGTGAGTACCTTTTCCGCCCCATCCCACCCCCTACAAGACAGTCTGGCTCTGTCACCCAGGCTGGAGTGCAGTGGAGCAATCTTGGCTCACTACACCCTCTGCCTCCCACGTTCAAGCAATTCCCCTGCCTGAGCCTCCCGAGTAGCTGGGATTACAGGCACCCGCCACCACACCCGGCTGATTTTTGTATTTTTAGTAGACACGGGGTTTCAACATGTTGGCCAGGCTGGTCTCGAACTCCTGACCTTCTGATCCGCCCACCTTGGCCTCTCAAAGTGCTGGGATTATAGCGTGAGCCACCACACTCGGTCTCAGTGAGTACCTTTATATTAATGGAGGATGAACATTTATTTAGCATGCATTGAACACTGTGATAGATGCTTCCCATTTCATAAGTCTTAGAATCCATTCCTTAGCACACAACACACTGATAGTAAAAGATAAATTTAGAGGAACAAAAAATAGACTTTAATTAATAAGATCTGCTTCCATAGCTCTGTAAAACTGCTTTCCTCTGGGGTTCAAGTAAAAAGGAGGGACATTTGTGTTTATATATTACCCAGCTATAAAAAGTGAAGAAGTCCCTGAGCACAAATGCTGAAAAGGGATTAGCTGGCTCCTAGGAATTTTTGAATTATTGTGGTATGGAATGAATAAGTACTACATATACCTATAGTTCGTTGCTACCACTACAAGTTTTTGTTTTTGATATCTGGAGTATTTTTAGCTCACATTTAATCAAAGATAGTTCAAATCTCCAGAGAGCCCAGAAAATCTTCAACCCTTTCAGCCTTTTTATTAATAGTTTATTTAATAAGACCGCATTGTCCTCAATTCCTATTGTATTCTAATAAAAATTTACCTAATGTGCACAGTTCTGGGTACATTTTGGGTTTGTCTTTATAGGGTTTGGTTCACAATTTATTTCGGTGTGCCCAGAATAGATAACCAAAAGAATACATATTTTAGTTTCTGTTGTTATGATGAGTGTAACTAGCCTTCTAAATATGCCATACCTTTTCTGCTGCATCTTCATCGATCTATGGCTGTAATCTTATATGTCAAGACTTTCAGCTAATTGGGGTAAGTTATGAATGTTTACATTACCATTATGATCTATAAAATGCTATTTTGTCTGAAGCTATATAGATAGACAAAGGCTTTCTAGATTATAATTCTTAGTGAATATTTTTTTGCCACAGAAGACTCTGCTAAGGTATACTTGGGAATATTACATTTTGCAAATACACAGAGGAGGTCAAAAATTTCCAGTTATTAATTATGCTGAACTATGTAGGTCATAGGATAGTAAGTAGAAAAAATGTAAATGGAAATTGTTTTTACCTAACTTTTGTAAAAAGAATCTAGAGGTGATTAAGCTCTAGTTTTATGAGTTTTAACGACAAAAATCAGGATGCTTTTCAATAAATTTTGTCTTGATGTAATTTTTTGTGGTGTATTCTGCTTATCAAATATTTCATTATTTACATGCAAATACACATGAAAGGTTTACAGAGAATATTTATAACACAGAGTGTTTAGGGACTGATTTCAAAGTGCTCTCAATCAGAGGGATAACCAAGTGTGGAAGTATATAGACATGATACACAAGTCATGAGTAATGCATGATAATGACTTAAGTTGGCTGTAAAGACTATAAAGCCAAAGAAGAGAAATGTGGCCACTCTGAAATGTGATTAATAAAACTTACATGAGTTTCAATTAATTTGTCTGTTCCATACCAGCCAAACTGTCTTGATATTGAGAGCATAGCCATAGTTTTATCAGACGCTCATCATTCTAAGTAACATTCTTTTGTCCAGAAATTATATCCTGTGAGGTATGTATCCAATGCATGCATAGATATGTGAAAATTTAAGTGTGGAGTGAACCTAAAGACTACTGATTAATTATGCAGATAGCTGTGAACAAATTGGATGTGTTCTGGGGTTGTATATGCTTAAAAGAAGAAAATGTGGATTATGTTACTCCAATGAGATCCAGATGAGAAGATGAGTTTACAGCAACACATTTCCAGAATTTTTGACTCAAGCGTGGTGTTCTAGGCAGACTGAGTTCGGAAGGTCCTTTTGGACTTTAGTTCAAAAACTTTTTTTTGACTCTTAAAAGATAAAGTATCTATGTATGCGTTGATGGATGAACAAATGAATAGATGGATGGGTGGATGGATGGATGGATGGATGGATGGCCTGGTAGACTATGGCAAATAAATGAATGCAGATTTATTTTTCAAAATAATAAATATCCAACAAATTCGGAACTGTTATTTCTCCATCCTTCCTTTAAAATTCAATTAAAAATATAGTGTAGGGATACCCTAAATGTCTTACAAATTAAATTTCAGTGAAAAGGAGTGTTTTTTCTTGAAACTAGCGTAATGAAAGATGTTTTCAGCCATGTGCTTGGTGCTCATGTTTGCAGAAACAAAGTATTAATTTGGGAGAATGTTTATTTTAAAATGCCACATTTATATAAGAGCTAAAGTTGATACTAATACAACTTCCCAGTGTATAAATCGAAACTGCAACACGCTTTCCAAATTGGAAAATAGAGGGCAGAAGTCATGATAATGGAATTGGTCTTAGCAATTAATTGTCAATCAAGGCATTCTTGACTTTTGGTATGGTGGACTTTGTAATCTATAACTGTCAATAAAGATGATTGACAAAATGTATCTTGAATCTGCAATTAGTCATTTGCTCCCATTATGTATTAATTGATTAAATTATTCATTATTTCAAGAATACAAAAAGCCCTATGGCTCTTGGTGCATTTATGAAACTTTAATTAAAGTTATCTAAAGCAAAGTGGCTATTCATTATTGAAAAGTTGAAAACTTAAATCTCTGCAAAAAAGAAACTTCAAGGATTCATTCCTTGATACTTGGGGAAAGAAGAAAAAAATCTCAAAGAGATGGCCCTAATCTTTGTCATAAAATTGCCACAAAACTTAGTTTCAAAACTAACTTCATTATATTTTTTTCTCATTTTTTTTCCTACATATCTTCATTGCCCCAACAACTTCTGGTTCTTAAAAGAAATTTTTTAAAAAAATATTTCTTCATGTTTGTCAGTATTCCCCTTTTTCCATTCCACTGAAAAATGATTTGCTGGGACTTATCCTCGAGAGGCCTATTAGTTAAGGGAAGAACACAAAAGAGATCTTTGGAAAGACTTTGTACTCAAAGGAGGCTGGATTTTAATTCTTTGAGGGAAAGAATGTCTCATTCATTTGTATACCTCTTCCACTGTCACCAAACATTTGGTCCCTGGCACTTAGTAGGCACCATGCTAATAGAATGGAAAACAAATAGGCAATGGGCCTCATCTTGATTCTTCATGCTGTTCATCTGTGCTCCTTTTCAATTCTCTTGTGTTCCTGTATTGTCAGAGCACATCTTTGCTCAGCAGTAGCTGACATGCCAGGGTATTCTCAGAGATGCTAGAAACTGGCTACATAAAAGGTTGCAGGGTACAGAGTACCCTACAGGACATTGCTTACCATCTAAATTGATGACTTTTCCCTTGTTGAAGAAGAAAATCAGAGATCACATAAAAAATCTGTTGATGTTGAGACTTCTAAACACAGTTATGCAATTTTAAACAGACAGATTACCTGTTAACTTATTAAACAAATGTTCCCTTAATATATGTTAAATGTATGATGTTGTGCTAAATGGTATGACCAAGTATATGGACTCTGGAGTCAGATTTTCTGGATTCAGACCCTGGATCAACCATATAACCTCTCAGTGCTTGAATTCTGTGTCTGTAGACACAAATAATAATGTTATGTTTTAAATTATAGTCTTATGTAATGAGTTAATATAGTAAAAGCACTCAGGACACTGCCTGGCACATGGTAAGGGCTATAGTGTGTTTGCTATTATTGTAAAAGTTCTGATGCAGGAAAAGAGGCTGAAATTTAAATGATTTAAGCAAAATAGAAGTTTACATCTAACTTCTCATGTAGAGTCTGAATAACCAGATCTGAACAAGTGAGATGGCTCTTTTCTGGAGAATTTTTAGGAGTTCCAGCTCTTTTTGTATTTTTGTTCACTAACCCTATGAGGCATCCTTATCTGCTTGGTCAAAGATGGCTACTCAGCTGATCGTGGTGGCTCATGCTTGTAATCCCAACACTTTGGGAAGCCAAGAAGGGTGGATCACCTGAGGTCAGGAGTTCGAGACCAGCCTGGCCAACATGGTGAAACCCCCTCTCTAATACAAAGACAAAAATTAGCCAGGCGTGGTGCCAGGCGCCTGTAATCCCGGCTACTCAGGAGGCTGAGGCAGGATAATCGCTAGAACCTGGGAGGCGGAGATTGCAGTGAGCCAAGATAGTGCCATTGCACTCCAGCCTGGGTGACAGAGCAAGACTCTGTCTCAAAACAAAAACAAAAACAAGATGGCCATTCTCATAGGGAAAGACCACATTCCCCTTTAAGAGCATGGCTTAGAAGTGGACCTCATCACGTCTGCTCACATCCTATTGGCCAGAGTTAGTCACATGGTCACACTTAGCTGCAAGGGAGACTGAAAAATTCCTTCTTTATATTGTATGGCCTTGTGGCCAGCTCAGAATTCTGCCTAGACAGGGAAGCCAATGAGAAAGCTTATTAATGGGACAATTTTAAGTCTCTGCCACAGATAAACCCTCCTGGAGCCAGCACAGAGATGACTTTCCCACTGGAGTTGGTGGCTTTGTAGTATCTCTGTTTTTCCATAGTACACTTGAGTACATAAGAGAAAATTAGTTTTGCAATTTTCAGTTCTGTGACAACAAGTATAACTCAAACCATTGTTTGTAACTAAGATATCTCTGGCATCACTAGGATCAGGGTGGTCTTACCCAATTTACTCAGTCCAGCTTAAAAAGTTAAAATGACATTTTGAAACTTCAGAAACAACGGCTCTTTTTGTCAGTATTATTACCTTTTCCTGGTTGCTCTTTAGCTTACAAATGTCCATTAAAGAAAAATTGCTCTCATATTCTTTTTTCTATTTCTCTATCCCACCTCCTTTCTAAATTAACACTGTTTCTTGCCTTCTTCCCTCTACCTTCTATTTCATATTCAGGATTAGATGATAAATAAAATTCCCAAATGCCCATTTGATAGGCTCTGTTCTAGAAATCATGGTGATGGGAGTTTGATCCTTTGTTCCTCTTTAATCACCTTCATAATTCTTTGAAATTCATTACTTGACTCTTTCTTCCCCAAGCACTAATTTCAAAAGCCTTGGATTTGTTCATAAAGACTTAATGGATTATAGACTGTTTGTTAGCCTAAGGAAATAGGTTTTATTTAAAACATAGCCATTTCGAAAGGACTGGAACCAAGATCAGCGGGTTTAGTTGGACTACTTGTGTTGCTTTATGTGGATATACAGATTAACTACATTTCTTCCTTTAACTTTTAAAAATAAAGAACAATTTGAATAATAAAAAGTTCAGACAAAACAAGGGCTTGATATTTATACTATGTTTTTAATATGTACTTAATATGATTTATTTCCTTAAATTTTAATACAATAAAGATGACCTACTAAATGTAAACTAAGCAGTGAGAAAAAACACATGCAGACTTACTAAACTTTTATTATCTAAGAGTGTAAAATACATCAATTCTTCAGGGGGAAAAAGACATTTAAAAAATAAATTTAGAAGTCAGTTTTAAAAAAAAAAAAAAATTGGACAATGACCAGGATATAGCACTATCTTTAGCATTACTTTATTCAGTAAATGAGAACTGCAAAAGTTCTGCTGGAGAGGACTGGATGCATATATGGGATAAATGTATTCTTAAAGCATTATCATTAGAGCCAATATATAGCAGATGACAGATTTCTAGCTGATATAGAAATTCAGTTCTCCTGCCATATATAGCTTTCCTACTTTGGAAACATATTGGAAAGGAAGAGAGGATGCAATTGTATAAAGCCAGAAGTGTGAAATCTTCTGTATATAAAAAATAAATCCATAAATAAGCCATTTCCTGAAAGGGTCTACATGATTATGTAGCCCAATTCCCCAAAGTGCTACCTCAGGGGTCAGATCAATTTTGAACATAATAAAAGGATGGCATTTTCTCCTGCATTATGCCAATATCTTTTGAAAATTTCGTATCTATGGAAGACAGGACATTACATTTGAAAAGTGGACAGGCTATCCGCAGAGAGCATGTACTATCTGAAATAAATGTTCATTTCAAAAGGAGAGTTTGAGTGACTTGAGGTTAGCAACAGAGACACCTATTAATCATAAAAATCTGTTTTAAGAATCTTGCAAGAGGCAAGGAATATATCCACAGACAACTAAGCTACATGCATTTCACAAACATTATGTGTAGAATAAGACATTAGAAATAGATTATGTAATAAATGATTACAACTGTGTACTTAGCAGAAATTTCAAAAGCCAGGTCTGAGGAACCACACAATAGGAAAATATTTGTTTCCTGAGATTAGAGAGAATCTCCCTCTTGGGAAGGAAAGAAGTGGTGGATAAAATATCTTGTTCAGGTTCATGGATGTTTTAAGTTGGTGATTTTGCTTGTTCTATAAAAAAAAAAAATCTGTAAATTTACAGATGTACTAAAAAAGTCTAGCAGGGGCCTCAAATACTTGCCTGAATTTTCACATAATTTTTAGGAGGTCTTTCATGAAAATTTCCCTGGGTTTCCTCATCCTGGCAAGTGTTCAAGAAAAAAGCTGTCATCAAACTGAGGCATCATAACCTGTCGGATAGTGTTGCTTGGAATTAGAAAGTCTAAAAGAGAGTAAAAGTCTAATTTTGAACTATTCATATTTCTATTCAATTTGTGTTAATTTTATTCCTTTCCTTCCTGAAAAATCTGTGCCTTAAAAAAATAATTTTCAGTGGTAAAGATATTGGGACCCTGAAGAAAGGGAGCCAAGAAGAGGTGCAACTGTTTTTAGTTTAGTTCTTTGGTGCTTTAGCACTTACGGCAATTTCATCATTGAATTTGCTGTCATTTCAAAATTTTGTCTTTTTATTAATCTTAATATTAATATTGAATATTTTAATATTAAAATTAAGCCGATTAGGGAAAGCTAAAATATTGAGATGTGCTGATCACAAAAAGAGGAAGGTAAGGAGGATACAAACCCTGAGCCACATTGGACTATTTGATCCCTGAGCATGTCAAGTGCCCGGATTTTGTTTTATCTAATCCTTTGCTCAGGTCACCCATGTTGCCCTTATACATGGTTGAACTCCTATGCATCCTTTAAAACCCATTTTAAAATTATCTCTTTGGAAAGACTTCCTCAACACTAAGAAAAAAGTTACATCTCTCTTCTCTACTCAGCTGCACATTTTATATCACCTGTATGGTCATTACACTTTAGAGTTTTAGAGTTTTAATTATTTTAATATAAACAGTTATCCCAGGAACTTTGTCTTGATTAAATTACCACCCGGTGTTTCTCTTGAGTCTTTACACTTGAGACTTCTGTTGTGAAATATTATGGCAGAGTGAAAAGAGAATGCAAACGTTGAAATAGGGCAGAGCTGAATTAACTTTAGGGTGAAGTCCATAGTAATTTCCTATGACAAAGTAGTAAAGCTTTTTTTGAACTTGGATTCTCAACCTGTTAGCTTTGTACAAGTTACCTATAATCTTTATGAGCTTTAGTTCTGATGCTTGTAAGGTACAGGCAATAAAATATATTTAAAGGTAGTTCTGTGAATTAAAAAAGCAAGCTATAGTTACCTGATGAGCACTACTTCTTATTTGTATTCATAGCCAAATTGCCAACTCCATGGTTCTTCATCATCGAAGATGTTAACCACATAATCAACCTAAGTGTCCATCAATAGGTGACTGAATAAAAATATATGGTACATGTACACCACAGAATACTATACAGCCATTAAAAAGAATCAAACCAGCCGGGTGCGGTGGCTCACGCCTGTAATCCCAGCACTTTGGGAGGCTGAGGCGGGTGCATCACAAGGTCGGGAGTTTGAGACCAGCCTGACCATTATGGTGAAACCCATCTCTACTAAAAAATAAAAATACAAAATAATTAGCTGGGTGTGGTGGCACTCATCTGTAGTCCCAGCTACTTGGGAGCCTGAGGCAGTAGAATTGCTTGAACCCGGGAGACGGAGGTTGCAGTGAGCCAGGGTTGTGCCACTGCACTCCAGCCTGGATGAAAGAGCGAGACTCCATCTCAAAAAAAAAAAAAAAAAAAGAAAGAAAGAAACTGTGTCTTTTACAGCAACATAGATGGAGGTGGAGGCCAATATTCTAAGTAACTCAGAAACAGAAAATTCATACTGCATGTTCTCACTTATAAGTGGCAGCTGGCTGAGCAGCGTGGCTAATACCTGTAATCCCAGCACTTTCAGAGTCTGAGGTGGGAGAATCATTTGAAGCCAGGAGTTCAAGACCAGCCTGGGCAACATAGTGAGATTCTGTCTCTACAAATGTATTTTAAAAATAGCCAGCCAGTAGTGCATGCCTGTTGTTCCAACTACTCAAGAAGCTGAGGTGGGAAAATTGTGTGAACCCAGGAGTTCAAGTAATAATAATAATGATAATAATAATAATAATAGAAGCTAAGCAATGGGTACACATGGATATGCAGAGGGAAGTGACAGACACTGGGAACTATTCAGGTGATGGGCACGCTAGAAGCCCAACCATTATACAATATATCCATTTAACAAATCTGCACTCGTATCCCCATGATCTGTATTTTAAAAAAGAAAGAACAAAAAAGATGTTGTTCACAACTCTTGTGGCAATTGCATGAAATCTGTAGCTTTTGAAGCATTTGCTTCTCTCACTTATCCTTTCAGGGATTCCTTTGTGTAGAGAGTCAGATGGATAAGTGACAAAGGCTTAGAATACTGTATGAGCATTGTAGTTCTGTAATTAAATGTAATCAATCTATAATTTATCTAAAATGATTACTTATCAAGTAGGCGTGAAACCTAAGCATTCCATTCATCTTTATATAGTCATAGTGAATATTAACATTGTCTGCCTAGAAATGCCGTGCCCACAGAGGAAATTCACCTAGTCTGCACATCTGGAGTAATGGCTTTTGTAAAGCAATCATTCTATATTTTGCATATGCTGATAATTAAGACAGATTTAAAGGTGCTGCTCTATTCAAAAAACTTTAGGGTGAATTCTAGGGAAATTACTGTAATAAACTGGTGAAGCTTTTACAGGTAAGTAGTGGTTTGTCCTCTCTCCCAATTGTCTTTCAGTGCAGTAAAAATTTAGAATTTTCCCAGTTATTTGTGAAGTGGTCTGCATTGCGGTTTTGTGAGAAATTCCCTTATGCCTACTGACTTCCTCATTCTTTAAAGAGCAATTCTTCATCCTCATTGAAATTTCAAGTTATTTTTGTCAGATTGCCTTAGAAATCAGTCTGCAAATGTCCCAAAAGACTGGTTCAGAATCTGGTAAATTAAGCAATGACAGGATAAAATAAAATTCAGAGCCCACATTTGTGAAAGATGTTTTATAGAACAAGATTGAACAAGATTGAATTCAACAATATTGGAGTGTAAATTCAGATTTATTTTATTGCTCATATTCCTTCTATTCAGAGATTACAGTAGTAAATGATTTTTTTTGCTAAAGATGGTAATATTAAACAATTATTTACTCTTCCTCAATATTTTGTGATATTCCCATTTAATATTGAGTAGAAGAAAAATAGAAAACATGAACAATATTGTCTAATGATCTTTCATAAAAAATTTACCTTGTGTCACATTTGTAGGACTTGGGATAGATTTTCATTGACCTATCCAAACTCTCTTGGTTCCTTATAATCAAAGGTTGAATTTAAAAGATGTAGATATAAAGATGTTCTTTGTAGTGCTGACCCAAAGTTTACTGAAACTTAAGTTTCAAAACTTAACATTAATTGATACCACATGCTATTGTACCCTCAATGGAGGGTAGGGAGGAAGGCCAGGGCATAGAAAGCAGAAACAGGAAAAAGAACAGAGTCAGAAAATGGAACATAGGAAATATGTATGATTCATCCTTTCTAGGCATTTAACATGCAAACAGAGTGTTTCCAATAGTTAATATAGTTTGCCCAAATCAAATTCTTACATGTCCATAGCCAGGGCTGGACCAAACAGTAATTCCTAAGAAACCATTCCTCTTCCCTCTTTATTCTGTCTCGTCTGTTCCTCCATCGACTGATAGGGATAAGGTTTTACCTGGACAGACTTGTAATTTAAACTTTCCCAGGAGAGTTTAGTATTTTAATAAAGTAACTCTGGAAATAAAACAGATCCATTATTCCTGTGTCTTCAGTGATGAGTGATGATGCACCTTTGGCCAGCAAGTTCTGATATTTTACTCATCAAACAACATGGATCAGCCTGTCCCAACAAGGCAGGATGTACCTCATCCTTCAGGGTTGGATCAAATACCATTCCTTCTCCAGAAAATCTTTCCTAAACTCTACCTCCTCTCCACCCCAGGCTGGATCAGGTGTCCCTCCTTGATGCTTTGTTGTATCGCTGATTTAGGTGTCATTCTCCTTCACAATGAACTTCACCAGAACAGAGAAGTCATTTTATACAACCTGTCTTCAGTTCTTAGCATATAGTAAATGCTTTTTTAATAAACACATAAATGAATAAATTACTATTTGCTATTTCTGATTTATTTTATTTTTATAACAGAATACAAAGTATCATAAATCTATAAATGTCTCTGTTGTTACTGTTTTCAGATACTGTAAATAAATAATTTGTTATTTTTGTTTAAGCATAGCAGAAACATTGAGCAATTCCTAAAAAATAAGACTTAGACACAATGTACACTGCTATACAGATAACTACCTGGCAATTTAGGCTGTCTTATCATTCCCTAAAGTATTGTAAATTAATTTTTTGCTCTTACTTTATTTTACTCCATAAATTGACACATCCAGTAGAAGCAGCTTTAAAGTCATGAAGCTCTATTTGGAAAAGTTTACCAAAGGTTTCATTGGAATTTGGTTCTTTTAGTAAGTCATCTGGGATTATATACACTTAGTGCACAGACACTGATGTTACTCAAAGCAGTTTTAGAATTCTCTGCTCCTGAAGTCATAGCCAAGTTAGTAAGTGAACAGAAAACCACTTTCATTTCTGTGAATACAGATTTATTCAGGTTACAATGAAGAGACCCATTTAGGTTACTGTGAAAAATAGGAATGTGAGAAAACACAGGAAACCTTCCTTGCAGTCACACAGCCAGGCATCCTAAAGAACTAGAACATGGTTACACTACTTGGGATATTATAGCAAATTCATTGAACTCGCAAGTTTACTATCTCCCCCTGCCTCCAGGAAGGCATCATTCTGTGGCTCACCTTTCTGTCTTGACTGATTTCTGAGGGTGCACTGCTCTTTCTAATAGCAGTGTGTATTTCTACAGACCGCTCATTTCCTATGTCTCCTTCCTTTCTCCTTTACTTATACCAGTGTATCATGTCTTCCTAAGAAAAGTTCTACTTGAGTTCCATGTAAAGGTAGCCCTGCTGTGGGAAAACAGGGGAGACAGGGATCTACGAAGCAGTATTGAATTTTGTTCTTTTAGGCATTTGCTACATAGCTTCATAGATCCCTGTCTCCCCCGCTTCTTCCCTATGCAGGGCTACCTTCGATATGCATCCGTGTAGTCTATCATGGACAGGGTAGCATGATGTAAGGCTTGCCATATCATGCATGTGGAAACCTATGACTACTTCCCTCAGAGAAGTATGTGAATATGAAAGGCACTTTGGGCCGAGAACTATCACTGGTGTATATAACTATATGGGCATGTTGATCAGAAGTGGTCTGAGAGATGGAAAAGAGATGTGACAACTGAAGTCCAGAGCGAGCAGTCAGATGTCAAGCAGGGGCTGAGACGAGTTCTATGCAGGACAATGAGGCAGGCTTGGGAATGGAAGAAGGCAGTGGAGAATCAGATAAAATCATGCAGATTCCCAGAAAGCCAGCAATATTTGAAAACTAAATGTAGAATCAGAAAGACTTGGGGTATGTACGCTTAGGGGCACAGATAATGGATGGATATGTATGTCTTCAGTAGGTTTTTATTCCTTTAAGTTGCATTAGTGTCACTTTATATCGAACCAGCTCAATTCGTTTCACTAATATTTATTGAGGTCGCCATCTATTCCAGGCAATGTACTTCTCCCTTTTATTCACTGATTGTAGTTCTGAATGACTTAAGATTAAAAATATGAATCAAGCTCAAGTATAATGAATCAAGATTTGGCATTATTGAGATTGTTTAAAAGATAATTTAAAAAGAGCCTCTAAAGGCAGCATCAAAGGTGCACTCCAAATATGTTTTGAACATTGGCAGATTCTTTGCAACAAATTTCAAAGTTACTCCTTTGAAGAGAACAAGTTCTATTATGTTAGTTTGAAAAAAATATCAGTGATACTACTTTTCAGCTATATGTTGCTGGAGCAACTCCAGAGCTTTCTAAAGGTACTATTTTAGTCTTGATCCTTGCTTAGCCCACCCAGAGCTCTTGCATGCTTTTCTTAAGTGGGGACAATGGATCTGACTGTTGGGAAATGATTCATTTTGACCAGTGGTTAAAGAGGCTGACATGGAGTCTTCCTTTAAGTTGATAGTAATGCATTTCAGAACCTGTTAAAGGATGAAAATGACTGATAGTACTTTCAAATCAGGGATCAAACTTTTTCTCCAAAGAGCCAGGAAGTAGGATTTGGGGTGATAAGTCTCTGTCATAACCCCTCAACTACCTGTTATACTACAAAAACAGCCCTAGACAATATTTAAATGAATGGGTGTGGTGGCTTGCCAATATAACTTAATTATGGACAGTGAAATGTCAATTTTATATAGTTGTCATATGTCACAAAATATTATTCTTTTTTGATTTCTTGTCAACTGTTTTAAAATGTAAAAAACCTCCTTTACTAATAGCAATGCAAAAAGAGGCAGTGGGTCAGATTTGGCCAAGCACCTTGGTTTGCTGACTCCTGATTTTAATGAAGAAACCAGTATCTAGGAATTTCAAGTTGAAGGGTGGTAACCTGCAGAATGGTTGCAGTGCTGTGGCAGCTTCCAGAAGCCACGCTGTGGGTGAGTTATCTACCGTCCTGGTGTACAACACTAAAAGAGTGCCATTAAGGTTTAATAAGCTGGCTATAGAGTAGTACTGCTGTGCATTAGAACCTTACAGGGCTGCTGTGAAAATGCTTACTCAAGCCTCTGCAGTCCTCGTAAATACCAATAGTCCTTTGCAGGCCCCTTTGTTTAGAGGAAACAGGGTGCTAGAATTTATTGCTCCTGTGACTTAAGTTCCTGGACATACCAATCTACACTTGCTCTTTTCAAATAAAAGTCAGTTTGGATTTATTTAGGGACTTTGTCCTTAGGGAAAAATAGCAGAACAGTATGTCTGAGAGAGCAGGACACTCATCTCCTGAAAATTCGGCAGGCTTCGGGCTTCGTTAAATTGTTTCTAGCTGGTATTGGGGAAATTCCCTTGTGATCCATGGGAGGATGGCTTTTTCAGGGAGTCTCAGTTCCAGGGATGAATGCTTCTCTAGAGCTGGGTTCATGGGTTGCAAATGCACTGCTGAACATCTGGCCACCTTGATTTCTCAGCCTGGCAAAGTATCGCCTGTTGAACATATTCTTACAAATCTGGCCCAAATGCCCTTTGATATCTAGTGTAGAGTGGGTGCCCAATTAAGCAGTTAAGGATAAAATCTTAAGCTTAAACTCTTAACTCGTTTTAAAATAGTTATGCGTATTTCATTTATGTACTTGGAGGAAGAGAAATGCTTTAATAGATGCATGCATCTGGGAAAAAAATAAACCAGGTTATTTGTTGAAACTGTTCAGTTCCTGAAAGTGGGAAGCACGTGAGCCAATGTTTCCTAACATCAGATTTTTCCCCTTAATTCAGAGCCTTTTTTTTTTTTCAACTTCTGTGGTTCAACTCCAGGAGCAAAATAAAAAATCCCTTTCCTTCCGACAGTAAGCATACACTAACATGATTACACTAGGGGATTTTTCTCTGCTATCTTTCTAGAAATAGAAATATGCTGGTGTCACGTGGCTACATTACATCCACATTTGACGGGTAATTGCACCTCAACTGCAGGCAAATAGGCCCTGAGAAAAAATGCAGTTTGGAAAGGGTTCCTTTGCCAGTCGCATTTGACGAAAGCTCTCATTATTCAGTCAGACTGTCAGCCACATGCAGCAGAGTGCCTTCTAGAACAGCTACATTCCTTTCTTGGCCCCATGTTTTGTCCAGAAGAGATCTGGACATTTTACCACTGTTGTTTATTTCTTTAAAACCAAATTCCATTTCTATGTTGGCCTAAACCAGCATTCTAACTCCAAAGCAACAGGTGATTGGGAACCCACAGAACAGCCCCCTCCAGTCCTCTCTGCTGTACAGTGGGAGTGTGGTTCCAGTGGCTTGGCCTCCTTCATGGAGAGCTTGTTGCCTAGCTGGCTAGAGAACGTAGGAAACTAGCACTGTCTTATTTCTCTTCCTCCAGACATTATTTTCTCAGTTTATTAATAAGAAAGAATACTCAAATCACACAAATTTAATGATTACAATAAAGTGCAGGCCTGGTGTTATGCCTATGACTTGTATCAAGGAACCACAAATAACTTTCAAAAATGTTTGGAAGGAAGTGTGGCACTTACACATTTTTATTTTCTTCCTCCCTTATTATATACAGAACAACTCATGCAAAGCAAACCCAATTGAATAAATTGCTTTTGTTTAGCAGCTGGTGAAAAAGAGCTTCTTCAATTTCAGGCGAAGTATTGGGTAAATGAAATAATTAAGTGCCACATGAATCTTTTCTTTTATGGGAAAGAAATACTACTCATTTGTCGTTAATTATTTTGCGCAAATGAGCTTCACCTGTTGATTTCTCCTTTCTTGGTTTTAAATGTGAACTTTCAGAGTTTGTACTTTCATCATGTGTCTGAAGTAGATAAAATGTCTGGTATCGTTTATTCTGAACAAATCTGAAAGCCATTTTCTCACTATTATAACTTACTGTCTTGCTTAATTGGATTCTAATTTCACTAAAAAATTAATTTCTAATTGTTTCTTAGCATATAAGTGCTAACAATAACTGGGTTGTCTCAGGAAATGTGATTACCACTTGAGGTTTGGAATTCTAAATATTATATTTTTCCTTTTAAAAAATTAATGAATTTGCTAAAGGTTAGCTGATTATGGAATGGACAGATATCATATTTCCTTCCTGTGCACTGAATCCAAGTGTCTTGATTCTACTTGAAATCAATAGCAGTAAGGTACTGTGTGTTTTGCAGACAAGTAAATTATACACAAATCTATTTATAAATTATATAAATATGTTTGTGATGCATATACTTGTAATAAATACTTCAATTTAATTTAAGACCTTGATTAATTAAGCCTACCTGAAAATTCATAGCTAATAGTAAATTGCCTTTAGGAATACAGTGAAATGGCCTTTACTTCATGTAGCAGGAAAGAAGCCAAATAATACAGAGCTTTAGCAAATATATCAGTTTCTGGTTTCTATTAAGGTACCTTTTCTGTCAGTCCAGCTTTATACCACACATTCATATGAAAAGGCAGTGAATAAGTGGATATTTCTGTGGAGAATAATATTAGATGGGGGAAGCATTACTACTAAAATTTGCATAAGTGACTTAGAGGGGAACTTCACCATTATGGGGGTAATCACAGCTACCCAGATCCACACTCCTCATTTGCATTGTGAGAAGGGCACCTAACAGCTACCTCTTTTAGTCAATAGTAATATCTATGGTGTAAAATTTCAACTTATTTGATGGCTAGTTCTTGTCTTTTTAATATTAACCTTGGGGCTCTACAGATTTACACATTCCCATATATAATTATATTCTTTGCAACTGGCTCCATTTACATGTTATTCATTCTCCTCTAAGTCATTTCCCAAACCAAGCTAACTTCCCATCCAGTTCTATTTCTCCTTATACGTTCCCTATCTCAATATACTGTGAGTTGCTACTAGGTCATCAAAAGCAGAAACCCGGGAATTGCCCTAGATTCCTCACCTTTCTTACGAGCTTCTCTTATAGCCGCTCAATTGTTGTATCCTGTCTATGCTCTTTCCCTACAATCTCTGCATCTGACTTTTCGTCTCATTTCAACCATTATTTAATTCATGGAGCTATCTCTTCTAGTTAGGGTTAGTACAGTCACCTCTTTAAAAGGAGATATGGTTTGGCTTTGTCCCCACCCAAATCTCATCTTGAAGTGTACATCCCATAATTCCCACGTGTCCTGAGAAGGACTGGTGGGAGGTGATTGAATCATGGGGACATGTCCTTCCCGTGATTTTTAGTGATAGTGAATAAGTCTCATGAGATAATATGGTTTTATAAATGGGAGTTCCCTGCATGTTCTCTCTTGCCTGCTACCATGTAAGATGTGATTTTGCTCCTCATTCACCTTCTGCCATGATTGTGAGGCCTCACCAGCCATGTGGAACTGTGATTCAATTAAACCTCTTTCCTTTATAAATTACCCCATCTTGGGTATGTCTTTATTAGCAGCATGAGAATAGACTAATACAAAAGGTATTCTTTCTTCATTTTTATCTCCCTTTAAGTCATCCTTATGTCTTTATCTGAGAGTTTCTCAACTGTGGCATTACTGACATTTTGGGGTGGGTAATTCTTTGCTGTGTAGGCTGTCTTGTGCATTGTAGGATGGTTAGCAGCATCCCTGGCCTTTACCTACTAGATGCTAGTGGCACTTCTTTCTTAGTCATGGCAATCAAAACTATCTCTCAACATCGTCAAATGTCCCTGGAAGTAAAATCTTCTCCAATTGACAACCACTGCTTTAGCTTCATTGTTAAATAAAACTCCTAGAAAATTGGTGTTCAGTAAATGTTTGATGGAAAGTTATTCATATGATACAACATAATTACATGCTGTTTGAACATCCAAGAGAAAAATTTATTTGAGTTTTTTTTCCACTGGATAAAGCCTCAAAGATGTATTTAGGTTGTGCATCAATAATACATACTTTTATTTTGGTCACCTCCCTCTTTGTTGTGTCTATACATGCCCTCGAGGTCCTTTCCTCAACAGTAGGGTGCTTTGTATTCCAAATTCAAATAACCAGATTATTTATAAATTCATGTATCAGGAAATAATAGGCTAGCAAACTTCCTAGGTTATTAAAGATAAAAATTTAATACATACTAAGTAATATTTTTGAATATCACCTCTTAAATGAATTAAGCGTGCTGCAACATATGGGAAATTAAATCTTCTTATCAGCAAGCAACTAACACTTATTTTCATCTGTTTAAAATGTACTTTTAAATTTAACAAGTGGTAGACTATGAGAATCATAAAATATGGAAACAGAAATCAGACCATTCCATTATAATACATTTGTACCCTAATGAAGACTGCATCCTAGAGTCAGGTGATAGAAAGCAAACATCTTGAGAGACGTGCTATTTTTAGTCATCTTCCCTCTGTTGCACTTTCCATCTTAGGGAAATAAGACTTGCTAATATTCAGACAATGTGATCTCTGGGCAGTGTAAAGAAGAGAACATACCTTTAAATATATCTAAAAAACAAAAGCATTAAAATGGAAATTATATGAACATTTGGAAGACAACAATGTCAATTTTTAGTCTCCTATCCATTTGTGGTTACCTTCCCCTGTAATATTTTTCATGCTTTCCAGCACTAATGGCATGTTAAAATCCATAAAGAAGGATTAAACATTTTTGTCCTATTATTTTGAGAAGAAGAATGTAGAAAGAGAAGACACTGTCTGATTAATTTTCAATCCAGGAAATTATAGGAAATGATATTAAATGTGAGACCTAGGTACACAAAACATGTAAAGCACTGAACGTAAGTAGCTTTAGCACATAGTTCCCTGGATTATTATTTTTTATATACTTGTTGAAAAAATATTAAGCTCAGTTAAGTCATGTAGGGAAGTAATTTGCAAGCCTGTACTTATTGATGATCATGATGTTTACAATATTAAAAATTACAAAGCACCTTCAACAAAATATAAGTTCTATTCATCAATAATTTACACTTAAATGCCAAAATCAACATGTCTATATTGTAAAATAATGATAACAGGAAGAAGAGGAAGAAGCAGCAGCAATGGTATTATTACAAAAAGCCAGGCTGTATCTTAGGAGCTAAAAATAATTTCCCATTTATCAAAAGAACACTTAATTGCAAATTCTAATTTTATCTTAATGCTTATTCTGCGATAATATGAATTTCTATATATTTATGAGTTATGTGAAGTATTTTTTCAACTTTGTAGCAGTCACTTTGCCTCACAATTTTTTAATGTACTCACATCAATAATAGGATGTCAGAGATTTTTCTAGTTTTGTTGATTTGATGAATTGGCTGTTTGTTTTGGTTTATCATTCTACCTCTTCACATAATATCTGTGGCACATTAAGATGTTATTGTTAACTGCTTTTGCTAGTTAACTGCTTTACATAAATTTTCTACCTGTCAATGGATGAATGAATATTTTTTAAAAAGGTATATATACACAACAGACTACTATCCAGCCATAATAAAGATGGAAATTCTGTCAATTGCAACAATGTGGAAAAACTGGGGGACATTATGTGAATTGAAATAGCTATGCACAAAAAGAAGAATACTACATGATCTCACTCATATGTTGATTCGAAAAAAGTTGATCTCAGAAGTAGAGAGTAGAATTGTGATTACTAGGGGGTAGGAGTGAGGTGGTGTTGGTGGAGTTTGGGAGATATTGGTCAAAGACTACCAAATTTCAGTTAGATAGGAGAAGTAAGTTCAAGAGATCTATTGTACATGGTGACTGCAGTTAACAATACATTGTGTTCTTGAAAAATGCTAAGACAGTGGATGTGAAGTGTTTTCATCACAAAAATGATAACTATGTGAGGTAACATGTAAATTGGCTAGATTTAGTCATTCTGCAATGTATATATACTTCAAAAGAATATGTTGTATGTGTTAAACACATACAATTTTATCTGTTAATTTTAAAAATATTTAAAAATCTACCTGAGAGATATATCTTTTCTTAGGTAGCTGTTTGTTAAAATTTTCTATTATTCTCTATAACAGTTGAAAGTTGAGAATACCTTATTCCATCATGCATTGCTATTTTTTCAAGTTTTTTTTTTGTTTTTCAAAAAAACTCTTTTATACACTGTCAAATGAAACTCCGTTTATTGAAAGGTGTGCTGTATGGGTATTTTGAAGATCATTTCGTAAAGTTGAATTTCATGAAGTTATTTCTGAAAGATTGTAGGCATACTGAAACATTTAAATTACTACCTGCTGTCTTTTTATTTAAGTAAAAATCTAAAAAATATATACTTCTCATCTGACCATTTTACAATCTATACAACAGGTCCTTGAATAATGTTTCTCTCAGTCTTTTAGTTATAACATTAGTGAGGGAAAAAAAATGATTCTTGGTCAGGACCACTGTGTGGAGCTTGCATGTTTTCCCCATATTTGCAGGGGTTTGCTCTGGGTATTCCAATCTCCTCCCACATTCCAAACAAGTGCACATTAGGTTCATTGTTGTGTCTAAACTGTCCCAGTCTGAGTGAGTGTGTGTGGGGGGTTGTGTGTGACTGCGCCCTGCTATGGAATGGCCTCCTGTCCAGGCTTGGTTTCTACCTTGCACCCTGAGCTGCTGGGATAGGCTTGAACCATCCCAAACTCTGAACTAGAATGAGTGGATTGGAAAATGAATGAATGAATAAATAAATACAAATTATTGTAAAATAAAAAATTCATAAAGCTTGCAATAATCTTTCAAATGCACAACAATAAGGAATGCAGTTTGAAAGCACTCAGTGGGCACACCATGTTTGTTCTTGTTTGTTTTAGAAGGTGCTCGTTAGAATTTTTGCATTGCAAACATTTATTCCTTGATTTAACCCACTACAACTACAACTGCCATCACTCATTGATTCACCAAAAATTGGATAAATAATTATCTTTTTATTAATCTTTCTTAAATGTATATATATTTCACATTTAATTCAATGTTTAATATTAGAAGTGTTTTGAGTCTTTATACAGAAGTTTGGTGATGTTTTTGTGACCAGGAACTTAACTCTTTTTTTAATCAATTAGCCTGTGGTAAAATGGTTTTGTTATAAATCTTTTTGCTGAAAGTTGCAGTTTCCAGTAATTTATCCATGAGGTTAAGCAAGGTGTTACTGAATATGCTTCATAACATTGTGGTGTATGTGATAAATATATAAATTTTGTATGACAATTTTTTAAATAAATAAATTTGAAAAGAAACAGAAAATATCAAGAACAATCTCTTGCCTAGCCCCACTGATTTTTCTACATTAAGTAGATAAGAGTGGGAGGAGGCTAGAATTGGTTTGGTGAGTAAGGATAAACAGAAGAGAAAGCATTTACTGACTACAATATATTCTGTGGTAGACACTCCCCTACGTGGATGATGGAAAGCAAAATATAGCCTTTTTCCATATGAAGATTATATGTCGTTGTGGGAGGCAGCCATTATTAAAAGAATCCCCAAGGTGTTGTAATTTTAAAACCATCCTAAGTGTCATAGAAGAAGAATTAGGATGCTGTGATGTCACATAATGGGAAACCCTGACCTAGTGAGGGAGGCCAGCAAAGGCCTCCATAGGGGAACATCATTTGGACTGTCATTTGCTGAGTGAACAGTGTTCATTAGGCAAAGGGAGGAGAAGGGATGAGTAAGAGATTCCAAGTAGATGGTACAGTATCGGCCTTGGATTAAGACATGAAGAGAAATACCACTTTTAAGGAACTGAAATGTTATTGTTATCTTTCATCAATGACTGTTGACAGAGAATCCTCAAAGGTCACTGTACCAGTGTTATGTCAGAGAATCACCATAATTTCCAAGAGAAAGCAGTGTCTCAATCATGAATGTGCATTGAAGACTCAGAATCATAGGAATCTGTAATACCATTTGTGATGCATCACTTTGCTTTTGCTGATGTGGCAAGGTGAAGAAAATAAGCACTTCTCCCAAGGAACTTTACTCTGGTTAGGAAAAGTATAGCATGGAAAGAGAATGAGGGAAGGAGAGAGAGAAAGATGTTTTACGTTTTGTTTTGTTTTGTTTTGGCATTTACCTAGAGTTCTCCAAATCTAGCCTTGAGAAGAAATGAGCCTGTTTCTGAGAAGAATGGATATAGGGAGAGGGACTTTTAATAGGGGCTACAGGAGATGTCCATTGAAATACAGGAGGCATTTAGTCAGAAAATATAGGTGTTACAGTCAGAGCATATATTAAATCATAAAACCTGGTTACAGATTCAAATGTGTAACAGTTATGTGCAGTAGAAAAGGAAAAACTTGGATAAGCTAAGAGAAATAATCACTGATATATAGGAGACCTGATATCGTTCTATTTGAGGAGTAGTATAATGAATACTAATTAACGATTGTGTCAATGCGTTCTTCATTTGGATATCTTTTATAATAGATATCCAAAGCTAAGTTCAGCTTCTTTGTTCAAATTCAAGCCTTAACATTCTGTACCAGACAAGGAAGTTATTGATTCATTTTGGCATATGTATTTTGTGTTTTAAACAAGAAAGATATTTAGAAAGGCAGCAGATTCAATTTTTAAAGAACTCCTCATTATTTCTTAAGCATTTGCATAAAAATACTTTTAACACATAAATGCATCTTCAGAGATGGTAGTTTTAAATTTTGTTGAAGAAAGATTATTGTCTTTTTAGTACATCTTAAAAAGTTGGAGGCTAATAACAGAATAGGTGAAACAAAAACAATAGCACTAATGCTTGTATGATACTTCTAAGGTTTACAGAACAATTTCACATTCTTATTTCATTTGGTAATACTTTTTTATATTCACTTGATTCATTCCTACTGTGTGCCAGGAGGCATGGGAGCTTGACAATCAACAATGAAGAAGGCATACAGTGTTCCTTCACAGAGCTTACAAGTCTCAAAAATAAAAGGAGATAGGTGAAATATCTTATTGTTCCCATTATACAGATAAATTATTCATGACTCAAAGAGTTTAAGCAAGTATCCATGGTAAAAGAGATCTATGTTCTTAACTTGTGCCAAAGATTTTAATTTGATTACTCTTTGACTTCAAAGTGAGATTAGAGTTGATAATATTGTTAATTGATACATATTGCCAACACTCAAAGCACATGGATATCTGTTTGCCTCGACTACTCAAAATTATTTTGCTGCTCCAATTAGTCAACAAATTGTGGAAAAAAATTTTAACTTGGATTTTCTTTGGAATTGAGTCATATTTTCAAAGAATTCATCTGATTTCCCATTATGAAAGGAAGTATAATATAAAAATAGAAATACTTGAAGTCAACAGTATGACCCAAACTATACCATTTATGTCAAACTTAATTATAATAGTCCCTCAGAATTTTGGGGGGATTAGTTCTAGGACCTCTTTCTTCATCATCATACCCAAATCAGTGCATATTCAAGTTTCACTGTTGGTCCCGTGGAACCCAGGTATACGAGAAGTGTTCCCTCCATACACTCAGATTTTATATCCTGTGAATATTGTATTTTCCAACAGAATTTGGTTGAAAAAGATTTGTATTTAAGTGGACCTGCACAATTCCAACTTGTATTGCTCAAGGGTCAACTGTAATATCTTAGTTTGAGGCTGTGATTAATGTCTTAAAAATACTCTACATTGCTGACTGAGTGACCTGCCTAAAATTAAATAGAACTACATCTCTCCTTGGCTTAAAACTGTTTGGTAGATCCTCATCACTTAAGTGGTAAATTTCAAAATCCTTAGCATGGCATATAAAGCTCTTTATGATACAGGCTCTACCTATCTTTCCAGCCACATCTTCTGCTTCCTACTTCTGACGTAGTGCTCCAAAACTGTTGTTATATAACACACACAGCAAAGACCATAAAACTAAAAAGCAATAACTGTAAGACATTTTGATTAAATGTATCAATGCCTCATACTGCAGGCATGAAGTAGGGCTTTGCTTTTGGGAAATGACTAATTTTATGGTAACAATGGAATTAATTTCTCAATATTAATAAAATTTTTTCTCAAGACCAAATATATAGAGTTTAAAACTCTGTCTTATTGATATGTTTATTTTAAGGATGATGAGTCTTTAAAGATGTTTGGGAAGGAGTTCAAGTTTTCTACTGCTAATAGAAACCACTTTTGCTTTTGTTCTTGAGCACTGAAACTTCAAGATCATAGTACAGATTCAGATTCTAAAAGATTTTGCACCAACAAATAAATCTGAGATGACTGGGTCTCATTTTTGCGATCCTTACTTATCTGAATTTGTGAATTAATTGGGAACAGTTTATCATCTTTGAGCTCTTGGTTTGTGGAAGGGGACCTCCTCACTTCCTTCCTTAGTGCAGGGACCAGGAACACATCTTTATCATTAATAATAACAGTATCTCATATTTATATGTTTGTCAAGTCACCAGATATTTTCTAATGTGTTTTCTCATTTGAGCCTCAACAATCCCACAAAAAAAAAGTTAAGCGACTTTATTATAGTTATGGAAAGGTAGAATTTGAATCCAAGCAGAGGGTTTTGTTCACTCACTAAGGCTCTCCATAGCACATTCATGTTTCAAACAAAAAGGACAGAACAAAGTTGTGATGTTGCCATTGTTCTACTATTATGGATTATTATTATTATTATTGTTTTTGAGACGGAGTCTTGCTCTGTCACCGAGGCTGGAGTGCAGCGGCGCGATCTCGGCTCACTGCAAGCTCCGCCTCCCGGGTTCATGCCATTCTCCTGCCTCAGCCTCCCGAGTAGCTGGGACCACAGGCGCCGCCACCATGCCCAGCTAATTTTTTTTTTTTTTTTTTTTGTATTTTTAGTAGAGACGGGGTTTCACCGTGTTAGCCAGGATGGTCTCGATCTTCTGACCTCGTGATCTGCCCGCCTCGGCCTCCCAAAGTGCTGGGATTACAGGCATGAGCCACCGCGCCCGGCCTATTATGGATTTTTTAATAAAAAATAATAAAAATACAGTTTTCCTTGGCCTCCATTTAACATGGTCCCTGAAATGTATATTTTTTCACCCTTTTGAAACATTGTTCAAAATAAATTACAAATCTCCAGTACTTTAAAACAGAAACAAACAAACAAAACAACAACAACCAAACCAAACAAAAACAGGAAAACCTCCCTTTCATTAATCATATTCTTCCCTCAGGAAAGGCTCAATAGGAGCATCCTATGTCCACTTTGGACTTGGGAGAATATTGGGAGGGAGATCCCAAGCTATCAATTAGAGCGCCGTCAGAGCCTGAATCATAGTATTTTCTCTGATTTAATGTTAACCAATGTAATCACCACTTAACTACCTATGATGTGCCATAGTTGTCTCAGGCTATCCTCAAAGCGTTTTTAAGGTAGGCCTTTGTTACTCCCGCTTTACAGATGAGGAGGCTGAGCTTCCAATAGATGAAATACAATATTTGGCCAACAAGTGACAGAGCTGGGATTCCAACCCCAGCCTGTTAAACTCCAAAGACTGAGGTTCATCAGGATCCATGCCACATGGCTATATGGGGGTGTGCTTCTGATATGGGGTAACCTCAGAAAATCTCAGGAGATTTTCAACTTGAAATCCCATTTATTTAAAACAATCTTATTAATAATCATTTCATAAATTAATAATGCATTTTTAAAGTGAATAGTTGACTTCTAATATATCTGTTTTTTTTTTTTTTTTTGAGACTGATTCTTGCTCTGTGACCCAGGCTGGAGTGCAGTGGTGTGATCTCGGCTCACTGCAAGCTCCGCCTCCCGTGTTCACGCCATTCTCCTGCCTCAGATTCCCAAGTAGCTGGGACTACAGGCGCCCGCCACCACGCCCTGCTACTTTTTTGTATTTTTAGTAGAGACGAGGGCTCACCGTGTTAGCCAGGGTGGTCTCGATTTCTTGACCTCGTGATCCACCCGCCTCGACCTCCCAAATTGCTGGGATTACAGGCGTTAATATATCTGTTATGCAAGCCCTGCTTAGCTTTTTAATAGAATACTTTTTCTTAATTGGAGGGAAACCTGAACTACAATTTCAAGACAAATTCACATTTAAAATTCAAGTAAGTGGCTTAGTGTTACTGCCATTTGAAATTATTTTGTACCCCTCTGAGATAATATTTTCAAGCCTATATTTACTTCAACTTTTCTGTTTTCCATTATGATTTATGAATCACTTAATATTTTATCGCTACTAATTTGAAAATGATTCTTGGCATTTTGTCAACAAGAGATACGAAGTGAATTTTTTTTCTTTCAAAGTGGTCTATAAACAAGCACTATTTAAAGCTTTGTGGCTGTCTTTAGTAAAATCACAGAGCACATTTTCAGTTTGATTTACTTATAAAGCTTCATCAGAGTTGTTTGATATGTTATTTATGTAAACATTGTAATTAATGAGTCATTACCTTATTAATAAATTACCTAAACTAGGATAATCATCATGGTCATTATGATCCTGGGGCAGACAACCAAAAAAGTTAAATTTTGGTGAAAAAGGAGGCCAAATGCATACAGTATTTTAGGACATTCTTATTCAGTTTTAAACATTTTTTCCTCATGTCAAAAGTATTTTGCTAGCATGTTATGTGAAATTCTAATCATTATTAAGATACACATTATAGTGATGCATTTTGTAACTTTTAAGCTGTTATTATTTAGATTGATCTATTTTCCTCTTTAACAGAAAATGTTGACAGTGATATTATTATAAATTTGATGATGACCAGTACCTTAGGGCTGTTTTATAGATAACTGTATCAGCTGATAAGCAACTGGTGGGTCATTTGGTGGAAAAGGTACAAGTAGTAACACTAACACCATTATTTGTATTTTGTACAGGCCAATGATTTGAAGAGTGGTTCCCACAAAATAGGATAGTCCCTGACAAATGATGCCACAGATATCAAAATGTTTAAACCCATGTTATTTTAAGCCTTAAAATATAAAAAGAGAAACTTCAGCCTGGTGGGAAGAGGAAATGAGTGGATTGTGATATAATTGGATAAGCATGTCATTTTTATTTTAGGAATTAATATTTTAAGAGGTGCTTTATTTGTAATTAAATCTCTACTTCTAGATTATTTTAATGGTTTGTCAGGCCAGTGACACATCATTAAGTTATTTTGTAGTTTAAATAATTTTTTACTAGAATCAACCCAAGAAGTCTTCGAGCTGTTGCTTATCTCAGCCTGTTCACAATATTTTGCCATACTATAATTGAATTCCAGCCTATCCTGGACCGTTTTGGACATAAAGGGGTTCTTTTCTCAGTAAGGCCTAATTTTCATCTTTCAGTTTTGATGCTTTTGTAGAATATTTTTTAGCAGGTAAAATATGTTCCACCATGCTTTAGTAAGCAGCTTAAAACAAATCGTAAATATAAAGCCCTTTAGAGAGTTCATATTAACAAAATACAGGGGCCCTTGATTAACCTTTGGACCCAATTCAAACGGTTTCACTCAGATTAGAAGTGGTAGATTGAGATACGTTTTTAAAGGTACTATCTATGATCAATGGCCAGGCACAGTGTCTCACATCTGTAATCCCAGCACTTTGGGAGGCCAAGGGGGGCGGAGCACTTGAGGTCAGGTGTTCACCAGCCTGGCTAACATGGTGAAACCCCATCTCTACTAAATATATATATATATAATATATATATAAAATATATATTATATATGTATTATATATATAATACATATATAATATATATAATATATATATATATTATATATATATAAAAGCCAGGTGTGGTGGTGGGTGGTGTCTGTGATCCCAGCTACTTGGGATGCTGACTTGGGAAGATCACTTAAACCTGGCAGGTGGTGAGCCAAGATCCTGCCACTGCCCTCCAGCCTGGGTAACAGAGTGAGACTTCATCTCAAAAAAAAAAAAAAAAAAAGAGAGAGAGAAAGGAAAAGATAAGAAAGCACTATCTATGGTCAATGTCTTTGGCCAATATTGTTGGATGTTTTGAGTTATATGGTAGATTACATAAAATAACCAGGACCTTAACAGTGCTGGTAACTTAATTGCCACTCAGAACATATGTTTCTTTTTTCCCCTAATAGTATGATAAATACATATTTCTGATCAAGGTAGATTGTATAGAAGGGTGTGAAGCAATTTGAAGGGTGCATCAAAAGCAGAAAAATAAAGATGGGTGCACCCTTCAGCTCCAATCCTGAAATTTTTATGCTTTGGGAATTGTATAAACAGACACAAAGCACTGTGAATTTAAAGGAGTTTGTGCTTTAATGGGTGTGCTACCAAAGCAGTCCAGCTACAAACTGACATGAAAATATTTTTCTAAAATAGTTCATCTATGGATTGACTACTGAGCTTGGTGATCAAAACAAAGATGGTCTAGACACTGACTCCTTAAAATCTCCTGGCTAAGAAAGAAAGAAAGAGAAAGAGGGAGAGAGAAGAAGAGAAAGGAAGGAAGGAAAAAGGAAGGAAGGAAGGAAAAAGAAGGGAAGAAAGGAAGGAAAAAGAAGGGAAGGAAGGAAGGGAGGGAGAGAGGGAAGGAGGAAGGGAGGGAGGAAGGAAGGAAGGGAAGGAGGGAGGAAGGAAGGAAGGAAGGACGGACCTTTTTGAGTTCCTCTTGGCCAAGCAATGTCAACTGCTCACATTGTTAGGAAAGCCAGCAAGCAGCAGAGTAGAGTGTTATACTCCATTTTTTAACATTTATTTATTTACTTATTTAAAGTAAAGAAAAAGTCAGAATTCTTAATAGGATTCTTAACAGGCGACTGTTGTTTTGTGGCTCCTGAGTTATTTGTATCTTCTAAATACAAATGTTAGGCTTTTTTTGTTGTTGTTGTTTTAAACTCCATTTATTTATACAGAGAGAGTTATAATATTTTAAAAACATTCTTACATTCTGAACGAATATTTCTACTTTCATAGTGTAGCTAACTGTGTTAATTAAAAGGTAAGGCTATCCTTCTGTAGAACTGTTTGTCATACAGGTAAATATCAAATCCATGATGCTTACATGAAATGAGAGCCCTAGTCAAAGCAGGGGGGCTAGAAGTAAGACTATATTGGATTGAAATGGCCAAAGAGACCTCATTTATAGCCCATTTTTATTTGGCTACTTTTTCAAATTTGGCATAAATAGCAAGTTCTCTATTGAAGGGTCTTTTCCCCTCTTAAAGATCATTAAAACAGGGGATTTCCTAAAGAACTGGAAATGCAAGGAAATCATATAGGACTACAAGATGGCAAGCAGCTTTGCAACATGTCTGTTAGAGAAAGATTACAATGTTGTCAAGTTTTCGCTAGGGAAGCAAAGTGCCTTTGACAATAAGTATAACACCTTGGTCACTCTTCTTTTTAAAATTTTAAATAAAAGTTACTATCATGTAGCTGAGGTCTCTAATGGAGAAGGATGTATTTCTTTCTCCTCTGAGATCCAAGGGTAAGTATTCCCATTGCAAAACTTGATCCTAGCACAGACTTAATAATTGCTGCATTTTAAATATCTAATGAATTCCTATCTCAAGCCCTACACTATAATCTTGCTTTAAAGCAACAAACTTAATTGTTTGAGGTATTTTCATTTTTGCAGAAACTCTACCTTTTAATGTTCTTCCCGTTATATAAACATACTTGTATCATGTTCATCTCATACTTTCCGCTTTTTATTGGTCCAAAGAGACAGCAAGCACAATGAGTGTTAGGCTTTTTATTCTTATTTTTTATTATTTTTTAACAGCTGTGTGGTTTTGATAAGGTGAAGGATTCCCTGCAATAATATAAAAAATTAAGCTAAAGAAACCTCCCCCTTAGAATCAAAAGAAGCATCAAGAAGCCTTTTTTTGTTGTGGTTGTTCTTGAGTTTCTCACGTTTCTATGGTTGAGTAAGCCCTGCTTGAATACAAAGGCTACTTTCCTTTAAATATTTCCATTTTGCAGTTTAGTTTCTGGTTTAAATTAACCAGCAAAATTGCAGACTGGGCTTTTTTTTTTTTTTTGCAAGGTAGGAATGGGTAATAATATGATAATTATTATCATCAAAAACAGTGATTGAACAATTTAATTTATTTGGCAGAATGCAGGCACATTAAACAAACATGGCTTTTGACACTATAGTTATACAGCAATTCACTGCTATGTTTACTATGTTCTATTGATAACTACGTGCCAAAAATCCAGGAGACAAAGATTAGGCACTTTTCTTTTAAATTTGAAGGAGCTGTATTTGGAAGAAAGTTTCCACATTTACCTAAACATAAGGAATGAATTCTACCAAAATGAACTACTGATTGGTAATGTAAGTGAATTAGAAGGGACTCAATGAATCAATAATTATTAATTGACATCATAAAGTGTTACTGTGTTAGACAAAGACAAATTTTGTGTGGGGAAGCCAAATCTTCGAATAAAAGTCAAGGGGCAACAATTATGTTCTGGGACTATAGTAAGTGAAGACAACTACCCATGAATAGATTTTTTTTTTTCTGTCTGAAACTTTAAATATTTAAAAACAAGAGTTCTAAAAAATATTGCATTTAGATTTCAATCATGAATATTTGTCTTTAATAATTTTAGAAATGCATGTGCTGAATAAAGCAAGTTAGACTAATATTTGACAAATCAAATCTTTGTTGAAGTTACAATCTGCAAATCTATATTGATTTTCATAGAATTTTTATAAGCTATCACTTCTTGCTGCAGTAATCATCCCTCTAGTTAATAACACAAGGCCTGGGCAAGTAGACTTGGTTTATTCTGTGACTGTTCATTTATTTCCCATTCAAGCAATTTTCTTCAACTGTCACTCTGACATCTAAATTTGGTAGTTCATTGTAAAAGATAACATTGTAGTCCAGTAGCCTCACTTCCAATTACACAGGACCTCTAAAGGAGCAGAACAAATGGAGTGATGATATTCTTGGTGTTTAAAGTATCTGTTTTTATGATGCTTAGTTTCTTTTGCAGAAACCATGGTCAATACCTTGTCATTCAAAACATATGAAGTCTTCTAAGCTATCTGACATCAATTTTGTAACACATGCCACACTTCTAATGTGAGTTAAGTATACAGAGAAAATCTGTTGTACAGAAGCCTGTTTTTAAATTTTGACTTGGTTCACTTCTACAGCCTACAGATTGTAGGCTTCGAGACTCTATTTAGGCAACATCGACTACTAACTACATTTTTATGGGTTTTTTTTTAAGTAGTTGAAAGGCATTTTTGACTATAATTTGTTAACATTTACATTGTGGACTTTGGCAGCCAGCCTATGCTCATTTTAGAGATTAAAAAATGGAGGCAATATCTTCAGAAAGTTTGAGATACATTTTATATTGAAAAGTGATGTCTATTTTTACAGATTTTAGTTTATTTTTCTTCCTTCTATCTCTTTTTCAGTCTCCGCAATAGTCTCTTTTTTTAAATTATACTCTAAGTTCTGGGATACATGTGCAGAATGTGCAGATTTGTTACATAGGTATACACGTGCCATGGTGATTTGCTGCACGCATCAACCCATCATCTAGGTTTTAAGCCCGGCATGCATTAGGTACTTCTCCTAATGCTATCCCTCCCGTAGCCCCCCAACCCCCAGCAGGCCCTGGTGGATGATGTTCCCCTCCCTGTGTCCATGTGTTCTCATTGTTCAATCCCACTTAAGAGTGAGAACATGCAGTGTTTGGTTTCCTGTTCCTGTGTTAGTTAGCTGAGAATGATGTTAGTTAGCTGAGAATGATGGTTTCCAGCTTCATCCATGTCCCTGTGAAGGGCATGAACTCATCTTTTTTTATGGCTGCATAGTATTCCATGGTGTATATGTGCCACATCTTCTTTATCCAGTCTGTCATTGATGGACATTTCGGTTGGTGCCAAGTCTTTGCTATTGTAAATAGTGTCGCAATAAACATACATGTGCATGTGTCCTCATAGTAGAATGATTTATAATCCTTTGGGTATATACCCAGTAATGGGATTGCTGGGTCAAATGGTATTTCTAGATCTAGATCCTTGAGGAATAGCCACACTGTCTTCCACAATGGCTGAACTAATTTACACTCCCACCAACAGTATAAAAGCCTTCCCATTTCTACACATCCTCTCCAGCATCTGTTGTTTCCTGACTTTTTAATGATCGCCATTCTAACTGACATGAGATGGTATGTCATTGTGGTTTTGATTTGCATTTCTCTAATAAGCAGTGATGATGAGCTTTTTTTCATATGTTTTTTGGCTGCATAAATAATAATCTCTTTTATATAGTAATACCAAGTGGAATTAACATGGACTTTGGGTTGTGTATATAAATATTAAGGTTATACTTGACTAAATTTTTCTTAAGATGTATCAGGCCCTTCCTATGTCAGGTTTTCAATTCTATTGTTATTTTAAATATAGTGAGCTCCTTCAATTTATACCAAATTTAAATTTAATAAGGGACTGTAAAAATGAGATTTGCACATTAAAGTTAAAAAATTTCTGATTTACCAATAGCACTCGAAAACACAAACCATCCAGATCTTTCATCTACTCACATTTTGGGGAGAGATCATGCTGGAAAATTTTGCATGAGTTTTGGGTTAAGACATAGACAAATAAAAGAAAGTGGAAAATGGAAACTGTTTAACTCATTTGAGAACTAACTTTAATGCAGGCTTGGCCTAATTAAACTGGCTATTTATATAAACAGGTTTCAGTTCATTTGTATGATAAAGTCCTAAAAATGTAATTATTGGGGGGAAAATGTTGTGCAGTTTTCATTTTGGTAGATTGCCAAATTTTCCTCCAATGTATTTGAATCCAAACTTCCCTTCCTTTGAACAGTGTTGAGAGTTGCCCAACGCTCTCTGTCAATCTTTTCAATATTTGCCAATGGTACCTCAATGTCGTTTTCATTGATCTTTCTTTACTAGGTGGTTGGACATGTTTTTGTATGTTTAGAGCCACTTCTTTTAAAATTTTTATGTGTTTTTTAAGATGTTTCTTCAATTTCTTAAATTCATGAACTTCCTATGCAGACTTGCCCAGTTTTTAATTGAATTTTTGGGTTTTATCTTATTGGTTGTAAAAATTCTTTATGTATTACAAATTCATTTTTTTTCATTAAGGGTTTCTTTTTAAATTTCTCTTTTAATAAGTAGCATGCATTTTTAGAATGTGTTTATGTGGCAATCTGTGTGTTTTTGCAGTTTTATTCTAAATCTGGAAAATTTATGATCCTTCCTTTTATTTCTTGTAATTTGTATATTTAAGTTCCCTTTTGGGGAGATTATCACTTTATGCTGTATCTATTGAGCCTCTATTGAAAGAGGAAGAATTAACTGTTGGAGTGGATTTTATTTATGCCATAGTTTTATTTACTCTTCCATTTTTTCCTGCTTTTAGTCTACTTTTACTTTCTTCATCTCTTCTTCAGACTCTTGTTTCAGAGAATCTGTGTTTTCTTTTGACTTCATTGAAACTAGATTCTCAATATTTTCTGGCTAAATCTTGGAAAAATTTTTGGTATTTATTTTCTGTTTGCCACTTTTTTCTACCTCCAGTTGTTCAATGGGAGCTGTTGTTTTCAGTATCAAGTTTTATTGAATGCTAATATAGTAGTGGTAAACTAAAGAAGCAGTCAGCTACGTTTCTCCTACTGTCTCTTTCTCCACCCTTACCAAAACACCTTTTCCTGTGGCTGTCTCCACTTGCAGATGGTAGGTCTATAGTGAACTGGTGTCATAGGTCTGACCTGTGGTGATAGAATGTACTTCTCTTTGGTTGACCAAAATGGAGAGTTACAGAACTTCTTGTTTTCTACGTTTTCTCCGCCACATTGCTAAATCATCATCTATTTCATGCAAAACAGCCAGCCTGTGTGTTCTCTGAGTCAGACCTGCTCCCCAAGGTCAGGGACCCTCCTGCAATTTGTCCTCACACCCATTTCCCCAATTCCAAGCACTTTGAGTTCTGTAAATAAATATTAAGTCTATCCTTGGGATTGTGTGACCCCCCCTTGGAGGAACTCAGACTGCATAGTCCATTACCTCTCGGGTGGCTTTTGACCTAGTGCTTCGTCCTTTACCTAGGTCCAAGTTTCAGTGCAGTCCATAGGAAATACTTCTTCATAGATTGGCTGTTCTTTAGTTTTATTTGATTTTTTTTCTCTTGTCTTTTTAAAAAATTTTGTTTATGAAGGAAAAGGAAAGTACCATTATTGTACTGTTATTCACCAAAATAGGCAAGTTTACATTTTTTAGCAATGCCAGTCATGTATATAATCTAATAAATTAATTTAAAATAAGTACAAGATTTATGAATAGGTTTCTCAGTTGTTAAAATTTTCCTGTGTGCCCATAAATGTACTTTGAGTTACATTTTTGCAAGACAGTGACCTATAAAATCTTGTTAAAATGTGTCACTTGCTCTCATTGGGTTTCAACCTGTCCTAATATGTTTTAACACCTTGATGGTTTAGACAGAAAGCACCATTTTCAGTAAGACTGAAGAAAATAGAATAGAATTTTATGGAAATAACCATTCCTAAAATAGCTCTTAGTTGCACTGCACCAATTTAAAAAATGACCATTTTGAGTGATCATTTGGATGCTGAGAGTGAAAGAGAGGAATATGACAATTATCACTGGTTTTTCCTCTACTAAATCTTAATTATACTCCTCTGTAGACAGAAAATATATTTTTTCTTGTAGACAAAATACAACATTCTGTCCTCTTTAAATCATGATACTTTCCATTATTGGTAGCTAAGTTCAATTATCAGACTCCACAAGAGTTTTAAAAGGTCATTTCAATCAGGTAGCCTAAAAGCTAATGTGAAATACTGCATTTTTGTGTTTTGTATCAATATTGTCCAGTAGTGTTCACACTACTTTACTATATTACTTATGAGTAACACTTTTTAGTATTCTGAATTGTTTTCATTTATGTTATATCATTGTAACTATGCAGTTGTGCATATAATTGCATACATACCCATAAATGGCATGAGTATTTGAAAGACAATTATTCAAAAACCTATATCTGTATATGGCCGGGCATAGTGGCTCATGCCTGTAATCCCAGCACTTTGGGAGGCCAAAGCAGGTGAATCATTTGAGGTTAGGAGTTCGCCACCAGCCTGGCCAACGTGGTGAAAACCCGTCTCTACTAAAAATACAACAATTAGCCAGGTGTGGTGTAGCCGCAGCTACTTGGTAAGCTGAGGCAGGAGAATTGCTTGAACCCGGGAGGTGGAGGTTGCAGTGAGCTGAGATCGCACCACTGCACTCCAGCCTGGGCAACAAATGAGACTCTGTTTCAAAAAAAAAAAAAAACTATATCTATATGCATTTTACATATAAATATATAATTTGCTTGTACGTTATACTTTCACGGTGTCGATAAACTGTGTGTATAATGGGAAAAATCTGTTTTAGAATTCAAAATTCTGATAGTTCTGAAATATATTGAGCTGAGACATACCTTTTATTTTTCTGGAGAAAGGATGAATAAACAATTTAATTAGTAAAGATCTCCAATTTTAAATCCTTTTGCATAGTTTAGAGGACTCCAAATACAAATAGTAATACTACTTAAGGTAAGCAAATTCTCACAACGCTCAATATTTTCTAGAAGTACTTAGTGTTTCTCAGTCTAGCTAGTGGATCTATAATTATTAAAGTTTCATATGTATACAAAATAGTCTGCAATTCACAATTTACTTTCCCCACGCTCATGTTACAAATGATGGTAGGTTGAATTTTAGTAATACAAAATAAGAGGCTCATGGTGACCAGCAACCATTTTATTTAACCCCTAATCTTTTTTATCACCACACCCACTTAATCTATATAATGCATCTGGGATTCTCCCACATGGTTTTGAGTCATTCTCATTTGTACCTTGAAATACAAATTTCCTTCAACACATAATGGGGGAAGTTCTGTGAGACTTTGGTCAGAAACGGAGGGGATAGTTATCATGCAGATAGGGCTTTTTAATTTAATCTAATAATTTAATTTAATTTAATTTAATTTTGTTTTAACAGAATGTGCTTTTTGTAAGTCCAAATAATGGAATTTAAAGTCTGAGTTTATAAATTCCTTATGGAGGGAAATAGAAAGAAAAACTAGAGTAAAATTTAAGGAACGAGTCTTTTCCCAAATTAGACCTTTCCGCCTCTTTAAGGCTCAATGTTAAACTCTATGTTAGCAGAACCTCTGCTTCCCACATCCTAAAAGTTGTTTTTTTGTAACACAATAATTGATATTTACATTTTCAAAATTGCGCTAATTTATATATCATGAGAAAACTCGACTAGTTTGCAAAACGGCAGGCTTTTGGCAGGTGTAGAAGTAGTGTCTTTCTTTTTAAAAACATATTTTTACTGGACTTAACTTCTAGCTATAAAATTAATGTTTGTTTATATATTCATGACAATATTGGAGATATGTTGACATGTTTAAAAAGTCAGATTAAAGTCACCAAGAATTCCATTGGCCAGATATAATCTGTTATTATTTTGGTGCATGCCTTGTAAGTATTTTGAAAAGGAATCTGTGTAAATACGTAGACGTAATCATGGACTTAAATACAAAGTTGGGAAATACAGTGCATACTATCTTTTAGCTGCTTTTATATTTAAGTGAAAATACAGCTACAAAATACAATTATTTTGGCAGAAACAATACAGCAAAGGGAAGAGTATACAGTATTCCACACCTGCAAGGACTCATAGAAATAACACCAAGTTGCCTTCTCGGCTGGAGTGCCAGGGGACCATGTGACCCACATCTGGTACTTCTTTATTCATTGAAATAATTGCCTACCATATGCTGAGCCCACAACAGATTCTTGCACAATATTAGTTGTGATCTTAGGCAAGGCACTTTCCCTGTCTAAGTCTGTTTCCCCATGTAAAAAATGAGGGTTCTGCACTAGTTGGCTTTTACTATACTTTCCATATCTACAATGTCACAATTACCAAATTAAGCGACTCTTATCTGATAATCAGAAACCACAAGAGCTTGCATAGTCTGCTTGGCATTACTCACCTGTCTAGGCATCAGTTTTTAAAATACAGGCATGAAGCATCGTTTCATTAACGTAGATATACAACTGCGTTTGCAACTCAGAGGCACAAAGAAGACATTGGTTATGCACCTATGCTTTGTCAAGTAATTGGCTAGAAGCTATGTGGCCTAGATAAAGAATCTGGATGACATAGTTCCTATCTACAAGGAGCTCTGGAGATTAATTGGGAGGTAAGACAAAGATAACACGAATCAATTGAAAAGCAAAGATCTCACAGACAATATTTCATTTGAAGTGCTAAAGTTGTCCTACAGACATTGTCTGGGTGATGTGTGCTATGGGGATTCAGAAAAGGAAGGAATCGCCCCCTGGGATCCTTGGAACCCAGGCTAATGAACCTTAAGTGAAGGGATTGACTCCCTGAGTCTGTGAGCTCAATTATATTCCATAGCCATGAGCTATACTCTGAACTCCCCAGCTACTTTGTAAAGTGTCCTGTTAATGATCAAAATAGATACAGAAGGACAAATCCTCCCTATTGGTTAATTCAGTATGTGCTCCCCAGGTCACTGTTGGGTGTAGTACTAAGCCTAAGTAGGATAATAAGAAAGCATATATTTGTGTACTTAAGGAACTAGTAAATTATGTGTTTATGAAAATTAAAGAACAAAGCAATTTTCAGTCATAATTGGCTTCTTCTCTTTCTTATTCAAGCCCAACTCTTCTTTCAAATGCCAGCTCAGGTTTAAATTCACAGAATTTTATTTTATTTTTATTTTATTATTTTGAGTCAGAGTCTCACTGTCACCCATGCTGAAGTGAAGTGGCACAATCTCTGCTCACTGCAACCTCTGCCTTCCGGGTTCAAGCAAATCTTGTGCCTCAGCCTCCCAAGTAGCTGGGTTTACAAGTGCACGTTACCACACCCAGCTGATTTTTTGTATTTTGGTAGAGACGAGGTTTCGCCATGTTACCCAGGCTGGTCGCAAACTCCTGAGCTCAGGCAATCCACCTGCCTCTGCCTCCCAAATTGCTAGGATTACAGGTGTGAGCCGCTGTGCCTGGCCTTAAATTCACAGATTTTTTTTTTTAATCACTTCCACCTCTGGATCTCTCTCTTCTTGGACTTCAAATAAGATAATGTCTGTTAAATGAAGTGACCAATGTGAAACATATTTTGAAAATCATAAAGTGCTTTTAAAATGTGAGCATTATTTATACAACGGTTACTTCTAATTTGGCTTACCCTCAATAGGGGTCTTAAATATCCAGTGTGTAAGATTTTCGTTCCCTATAATACCTCATATGCTATGGGCATTAGGTAAATATTTCTTGATTAGTTGTTATAAATCGAATGTCAGATCGTGACAATGTTGTGGTAATTTAAATAGGAAAAAAGCCTAACATTTGCTCCCCAAAGAATGCAAGCAGCTTCATCCTTCTGAAAAAGTTAAAAAGTTGGTAGTCTTATTCATTTTTGTTTTCAACTTTGGGGCCCTTCAGGATGTTTATGGCTCAATTTTCAATTGTGGCATTATTGAAATGAATAGTTCTTTCTTACTTTGAAGAAATATATGTACCATAAACATTATTCTTCTTCTGAGTTTTACATTTTGTTTATCAAGGACATACACTAATACATTTAACATAGTATTTCTGAGAAAAAATATGAATACAGCTTACTTTCTTCAAAATGCAGAAACAGTGACAAGGAAATTCATTCACCATTGGTCAAAGGTAGACACAAAGTCAGAAATGGGACTAGCTTGTATTTATATTTAAGCTGCTTTTCCTTGTACCTTTCTTATATGCTTTATTCATCTGCCTCTCCAGTTAAACAAAGAAATAACTGATTATTATTTCTTTTCTGACAACCTCACAGAGCACATTAGCCTCAGAAAAACAGAATCACAGTAGCCTATACAAGGGATTGCTCTGGCAGTTCTTTTCTGAGGCATGATCATAAGGTGTGCACAAATTAAATAATTAATTCCCTAGGTAGCTATGCTATCTGTACACAGAGATGAAGTTGAGTTTTAGTTTTATCCATTTTCTATAATAAAGAAGAATAACTAATGTTTTCTATACTTGTTTATCCAAGTAATTTTGACATAGGTGAATGGAGTTATGCTCCCTTTATGCTTTCTTAAATACCAAACGTATCTTTTTGTGTCACTAAACTAGAAACCATCCTTCTTCACAGCGGAGTCATTAATGCCAGGGAAGAGTCTGTTAGGCAAAGCAGTATCGAGGAAAGACAAAAGCTGGAAAGTAGACAGGGTCAGAGTTTGCCTTGGCCAGTGTTATTGACAACTAACTTGCTGCTTCCTTCTTTCTGGCCACACACTCTTATTACCATTTTCAAACGCAACTTTACCTTAGTTCTTCTAGAAAGAAAATATGTGTGTGTGTGTGTGTGTGTGTGTGTGTGTGTGTGTATTTATATACATATATAAATATATTTTATATGTAACTAAATATATAAAAATTATATATATTATAGAGTTATATCATAATATATAATTATAATAAAATATAATGCATATATAAAAATTTATAAACATTATATATACATTTATAGTATATAATATATATTTAGTTATGTTGAATTCACACTGTCCATTTCAGGGTGGTTCTTGGAAAAACTGGAGTCAAGTGATCTCAAAATTGATCCTCAGCCAGGAGTGGTGGCTCACACCTGTAATCCCAGCATTTTGGGAGGCCAAGGCAGGTGGATCACCTTAGGTCAGGCGTTCAAGACCAACCCGGCCAACATGGTGAAACCCTGTCTCTACTAAAACTACAAAAATTACCTGGGCGTTGTGGTGCATGCCTGTAATCCCAGCTACTCGGGAGGCTGAGGCAGGGGAGTCGGTTGAACCCAGGAGGCAGAAGTTGCAGTGAGCCAAGATCGTGCCACTGCACTCCAGCCTGGGCAACAGAGTGAGACTCTATCTCAAAAAAAAAAAAAATAAATAATAATAATAATAATAATAATAATAATAATAACAAAGAAATAAATAAAATAAAAAATTGGTCCTCAAACCTCTATCTTTGTGTGACCGTTTTTCTAGCTTTAACTTGCTCCTCTCTTGCATTTGAAGATGTAAGAATAGCCAATCTTTAAGCCAAAGAAATTATTTCTAAATGTGGAATGCTGGCTTCCAAGAACCCTGGGTGAAATGTATTTGCTTAAGTGTGAATGAGTGTGGTGAGGAGGACATATGCTCGGAAGATGACTTTTTCTGGTCTTGTGTCCAAATATCACCTCTGTTTTTATAAGGTGAAAACTTGATAAAGTAAATTGGTACCTGAAGAATTGTGCTATGTCTTGCTTTTGGTTTCTGTATTTTTCTTCTTTGTTCGTTGCTATTGGAAGTAGTTTCACAAAAATGAATCAGAAACAGTCTTGGGCATTCTGTCCAGGAACTAGTAACTCATGTGGTAATACAGTAACACTTATCCAGGTCTTTATAGTGTCATGATGTAATCACAGTAGCACTTTTGTTGGAGAGATTAGCAGTGCAGTTACTCTCCCCTCTTTATGATAAGCCCTTAGACCAGTCTCTTCTGATGGTGCACCTATAATATATGTAGAGAGAGTTTTAATCTCACGTAGAAAAGAGCTGCCCTTTCCTGAGTCTCTGGCCTTGCTAGGATTAATTAACAGGAAGTTGCTTGTTTCTGGGAATTCAAGATCAGATCAGAGTACACATTTTTTTTCGGTGTTTGTTGTCCTTGCCCAAGACTTTTTTACCAGTAAGCAAATATATTCCCACCATGAGGAAACCTAGAATTGGTGAGTTGGCCTATCTCTATGAAAAGTCCCCCAGAAATGGAGAAGTTTCTATACTTCTTCATATGATACTATTAAACTCCCATATCAAATGTTTTTGGAAAAAAAGAATTTTCTGGCATCTGGAAATTTTAAAGGTTTTCTTTAAAAAACCTTTCTACATGTAATTAATGCTTTGGGCGCTATACCCATCAATTATTTTAAACTCCTATTTTGTTATTGTTGTTTTCTTGAAAAAATCTAGGACCCCTGACTTAATTTCACATGTGATTAGTCAAGCTTCTGCTGGTCCTAGTGATGACATTATTCCAAAGAAAATAGATGTGTGGTCTTGATATGAGACTCATGGTCTTGTTCCCACTTCTTGTCTCCAAGAGACAGAGGCCTAGATTATAACTCTTTACTGAAATGTTTCCACAATGTTCTTCCTGCCGTGTGTACAGAACACTCAAAAATCTGTTAAGAAAATTGACATATAACTGTGTTATAATATTCTGGGGGAGTTTCTTCATTTCATTGTACCACTTAGGGAGATCATCCTTGTGCTGGAGAACATGACAGCCTACTTCTCATTCACCTCTTGCATTGATTTATTATACATAGATATATAATACATATATTTAACATATATATGATATATATTTTGCTGTTTGTTGCCTCTTTCTGCTGATGAGAATGTCTGACATTTCCTCCTTGTTTCTCTACCCATCTGACCGTAATTTACCTTCTTTCAAAATGATTGCTTTGTCGTTTACCTGTACATGGATATTGCTTTGAAAATGCTTTCTGTTTTAGAAGGAATGAATGGCTAGTCTCCTTGGATATGAAATGTTAATGAATCTCCAGAGACCTAGCGACTGTTCTACAATGTTATCTATTCTGTTTCTATGTGCGTATGTGTGCGTTCAATTGTGACTGATTTTCTTTGTTTCTTTTTTTTTAGCCAGTAGAGAGCTGTTTCACTGTTTTTCTTTAAGGAAAATATATAAATACACATCTTATTGAAAAACTAATTTAAATGTTTATCTTACTGCCGTATTATCCTTAATTGATAAGTCTTAGATTGCACAGTCCTACTGCATAAGATAGTAATCATTTCCCATACAAGCCATTTTGGTATGTTAGAAGAAATATAGCAGGTTGAAAGCTTCACTCAACAGACTAGGTTCATTAAATCTTAAGGACCCTTATGATACTGAACTTGAGAATGATGAAAGCAGTAACAGGCCATTGATTTCACACGATGTCACTTGCTAAATGATCTCCAAAGCAAGAGAGCAACCTCTAGACCAATTCTGGTCTATGCTGGTCCCAAGCCAAATAGCCAATCAATAGAGTGATACAAAGTTATGTTGACTCCTTTGAATGTAGCTGCCACCCTCTAAACAGGCGTGTTATTGAACTAGGTGTTAAGATGGAAGGCACAGACAGCTTGGAGACCTCTAAAAGGATGCATACTCTGATTTCTTGAACCAATGTTATTGTTCTTATTGTTTTTATTCTTCTCTTTATTTATTTTCCTTCACCTTCAGTGGTCAAATCACTTAAAAATTTTCTCACCTGTTTTAAGTCCCTATGTTTTTAATTTTGTACTTTCCACAGTTTCTGCAGTAGATATATTATTTAATGACCAACTGTAATTAAGCCTATTTGTTATATATAACATATGAATGATCCCAATCAGAATTGTTCATATGTGTTTGAAGACCTAATAGCTACCTATATAAAAATAATAATTTGTGTCATTTGGACCTCTCAAATAGGTGAGAGGGGAGATTGCCCTAAGTCCATTTAATTAACATTTGTTGAGAGTACACACAGTGCCACCTTACCATAAGTACATTGGTTCTACTGCTTCAGTATGGGACAGTTATATGAAGGGCAGAACTTTCAAATCTGAGGAATAAATAACAGAAGGAACACCTATGTGTTCCTCCTGCTCACCAACTTTATGACACTGAACAGGTCATTTGCTGTTTGTGTATGTGTGTGTGTGTGTGTGTGTGTGTGTGTGTGTGTGTATGTGTGTTTTCCTCTTGGTAAAAATGATCATCACCTTGCCATGTAGTCTCCAATTAGTGCTTTAAAGAAAAAGTGAGATGATAGACAAAATTCAGCCAGTGTGTGGAGTACTGTCATGTAACTCAGAAGAAAACATGAGTTTCTATTCCATGATGTGAAAGGTCTAAGGGCATTTCAAAAGGTATTAATCTACCAGGGAATGAGTAATAGGATTATTTAACTGGGTATCTATGAAGGACTTTAAATTCTTTGCCAAAAACTCCAACACATAAGAACACATGCAAAAGAAGAAATGGCTATAATTTTGGTGAACATTGGCAGGATTATCTTACAATGGGAATTAATAATCTGTGGACCATTGAGGCGATGCCTGGTTTTTCTCAACCAGAAGCATGGAGGAAAATGACACCACTGCAGCTACATCTGTAGAGAATATGCTTTGACTTTTCCTTATATTTTCACAACTAAAATTGACTGCTAGAATAGGGTAATGAATCCCTTTCTGGATCTGAGTCATATTTATGACAATAGAACCTACTAAGGCTCATAAGAATTTCAGCTTGGAATGATTCTGTTCTTCTAAGTAGGAATTATCTTAACATGTATTCACAAAACAAATCAGCCAGGGTGGTTTTGCCTAATAACATTTAACCCAACCTTTTTAGTATAACAGTAGTAATTATAGATTTAAAAAGAGAAGACCTCAGTAATTACATAACTAGGTTCTAATAAACCTGGAACTGGTTTTAGACTACTATTTCTATGGATTTTGTATTATATTGATTTTGGGTGGAGTTGCTAGAACAGCCATGTAGGGTATATGATTTTAGAAAATTAAAAAGTTAACTGCTAGCAGTGCTTATCCCATACACTATTCAATTCTTCTGTATTTATGTCTTAATTTTAATCATAGAAAGAATTGCTAGGCAAAATAAAATGTCCTCTACTGTGTTGTTTCACAGCCATAAAATACAGAAAACATTCTGTGCAATTTTGTTGAAAGTCAAATAAGAATGAAATAAATATAAACCAAAGAAGTCATTGCATGTTGTCTGCTGAATTGCCTCACTGATAAATTTAACTTTCTACTTCATGCTCAGTGTACTCTGGAATCAAGTTCAAGGTTAACGCCGGCTTTGGTGGAGTGACATTTTAAACTCAGAATAGAGCTGGAGATGCCCATATAAATTACCTGGAAAAACTCCTTTATTTTCAGAAGAAGAAAATGAGGATTATTGTATAGTTTCAATAACTTTGGCAAAGTCACAAAGCAAGGAATTAGGACTAGATCTATAGTTTCCTGATTCAAGGTTGAGAACTTCCACATTTGCAATCTTATTTTTTACTCATTTTCACATAGGACAAGGAGAATTTATTAATGAATTTAGAGTGTAGACACTGCTCTGATGGAAGAGGTAAAGAATTCACTTTATATAAAAGAAATAGTATTTTTACATATTTCTATATTGTTAACATATCTTTCAAAATTAAAGGAATCTATTTTGGAGCTGAATTTGCTACACTGTTTTGGTTGGTTTATTTAAAAATTTAACACACATATCACTTTTATACAATAACCTAGGGCATTAGAGTTCCATAAGTATATTTATGTCTTGTGACTTAAGTCTATGGAGGCTTTGGACTTCAGCACATTTCCTCTGTTTTGGCCAACACTTTATTCTGTGTCAGCTATACATTACATTGGCTGAGAACATAATCTTGCTGCTTTCAAAAGAATCATAACAGAGCTTTCATTGTGTCACCTTTCAATTTAACTCCAGGAGAAAATGAATCTCTCTGAGCGTACCTTAGAGGCTTTCCTTGTTATATACACTTGTTAAGCAAAGTCTGGGAAAAATAATTAAATATTTTGAGAGTTAGTGCATATGACTTCATTTTCAGGGTCAAATTTGGCCTAGGGTAATGTGTATGTTACTTCCCTCCCAATCTATGGAAAGTCTATATTCCTCGGGGCTTCAGAGTTAGTGAGGTGGCTTCTACAGTGTAAATGCTCAAAGATTTGCAATTTAGAAGAAAGAGTTAATAGTTTAATTAGCAGTCTGGTTGTCTCTACATGATCTGAAATCAATCTGGGGGGAAATGTTGGAAAGACTTAGTAAAACCCATGAAGTCTTTTTGAGGGATTTTTTTTCTCTGTTCTTTTTCAATTGAAAAGAAGGAAGACTGTACAAAATTCATTAACCATATATTCCCACTTCAGCCCCCAATTTAACCTGACTCAAAATTGAATCTGTACTTTGGAGGAGCCGTAGAGGAACAGGAGAAGAGACTGATCTCCTGAGGATTTTGAGTGTCTCGTTTTTCAAGTCACAGTTTTGTCTTGCTGAAATCTGTGCTTCAAATATATGGCTTAAGCTGCTATGGTTTAGTTCTTCATACATCTTGGATTAACACTGCTCTGATACTGTCTTCCTTTTCAGAAATTTCATTTCTACAGGTTAGGTCTGTGACTAATCTTATTTCAACTCTGTAAGACGGCTTCTTTCAAAAAAAAAAAAAAAAAAAACGGAAAAAAAAAAAGCTTGAACTTCTTTTGTCATCGGTGTTTGCTTTGCATTAAAAAAAGTGATTGAATAGGAATTATGGTTCTTTTGTGTGTCTCTTGCATTTTCTCCCTCTGAGGAGTGTGGTTGTATTCCAATAGAACAACAGGGTCCAAATGTGTTGAGTCTCCGTCTTAACCCAAAACCTAATCATTTCCTACATCTTACTAAAAGGATGCCATGGATGTTTGTGCAAGTTGTACACTTGTTAAGGTGGCACCATTTATACTGTTTTCACAATGGAGTTGCATATTTAATATGACAATTTTCTAGGAAATATCAAGCAAATGTCTTGTTCTGACAAAAATCATGAAAATTTTCAATAGGCAGAAGTAGAGGGTTTTGGAGATTTGCTTTTTTTCTATTTTCCTAAAGGCATCATATGGGCTACCAGTACCCATGACCACTATGTTCTAAGAGACAGAGGGGTCTCATAGATAAAAGTAGTGGTTATGATACAGATTGTCTAACTAGAGTTGTTTGTTAGGGAAATGCTTTAAAATATTTTATGCTGAGGGTCAACAGAGTTGATAGAGTACAGAGCATATTTTCCAGTAGTGATGGATTTCCTTCTCTCCTCCCACTATTGAAAGGTACAAGAAGTGCAGATAACCCAATTTCATCTGTACATGCAGGGGTTTGAACCTAAGCCCGCGTTACACTAGATCCTATTGCTCACCTATGCACCACAAATGATAAACCACCTTGATGAGTAGAGGAAGCAGATCAACTAAGTACAATAACTTGTACCGATAAATGTATTTAGAAAACCAAATAGTAAACATGCAAATGACATCCTGGGACAATATAGTATAGTGAAACCTGTTTCATAAAATGATTTCTTAACATTTTTGGAAAAAAGGGGAACACTGCAAATATTCAGATAAAGCCAATTCATGTGTGTTTCATGGAAAGGTATTATTGAAAGCTAAATATTACATTTGGAGAATATTTTAAAAGAGATGAGGAGTTAATTGTGTTTATAACTTTGAGTTTGGCAAAAATCTACAAAAGAGGGCAGAGTTTTCATTTGAAGATGTCTTCTTAATTATTTACTTGATTAATTAGCAGGATACTAAAAAAAAGTCTTCCATGTACACTTCAGTATGCTAAGTAGGAATGTAGAGATGATGTGGTATGCTTACCTGGAGGAAGGTAGCTAAATTCTAACATAACAAACCCCTTATATTACTTAAGCATCATGTTTCTTCTCTGATGTTTCCTATCTGAGTGAATGGCACATCTTCTACTCCCCTTCCAGGTCAGTTGAAGCAACAGTCCTGATGTAGAAGCTGCAGCAAGTTATAAAAAAAAATTTAGCTAAAATTTGATAAAGTTGACTATACTCAATAGATTTTCAGTGTAGACAAAACAGCTTTATATAGTTTTTGAAGAAGATGCCATGTAGGTATCTTCTTCTTTCACAGCTGAAAAGGAGAAAAGTCAATGCCTGTTTTCAGAGGTGCAAAAGACAGGCTGACTCTCTTTTAGGGGCTAATGCAGCTGGTGAATTTAAGTTGAAGCCAATGCTTATTAACCATTCTAAAAATCCTAGGGTCCTTAATAATTATGCTAAATGTGCTTTGCCTGTGCTCTATAAATGAAACAGCAAAGAGTGAATGACATGCTGTTTACAGCATGATTTACTGAACACTTTGAGCCCAATATTGAGACCTACTGCTTAGAAATAGAGATTCTTTTCAAATTATTACTGCTCATTGACAATGCACCTGTCACCCAATGATGGAGATATACATGGGGATTAATATAATTTTATCCTTGATAACACTTCTATTTTATAACCCAAGGAAGGAGTAATTTCAACTTTCAAGCCTTATTTAAGAAATACATTTTATAAAGTTATAACTGCCATAGATAGTGATTCCTATGATGTATCTAGACAAAGTACATTGAAAACCTTCTGGAAAGGATTTACCATTCTAGATGCCATTAAGAACATCTGTGACTCAGGGAAGACGGTAAAAATATCAGTGCTAATAGGAATTTGGAAGAAATTGATTTCAACCTTCATAGATGACTTTGACAGGCTCAAGACTTCAGTGGAGGAGGTAACTACAGATGTGGTAGAAATAGCAAGAGAACTAAAACTAGGAGTGAAGCCTGGACATGTGACTGAATTGCTGCAATCTCATGATAAAACTTGAACAAATGAGAAGTTGCTTCTTATGGATGAATGAAAAATGTGGTTTCATGAGATGAAATGTACTCCTGATGAAGATGCTGTGAACATTGTTGAAATGACAACAATGGATGTAGAATATTACATAAACTTAGTTGAAAAAGCAGCAGCAGGGTTTGAGAGGATTGACTCAAATTTTGAAAGAAGTCTATTGTGGTTAAAATGCTATCAAACAGCATTGTATGCTATGGAGAAAACTTTTGTGTAGAGTCATTTGATGCAGCAAACTGCACTGTTGTCTTGTTTTAAGAAATTGCCACAGCCACCTCAACCTTCAGCAGCCACCACCCTAATCAGTAAGCACCCATCAACAATGAAGCAAGATCCTCCACCATCAAAAATATTACAGCTTGCTAAAGGCTCAGATGATTTAGCAATAAAGTATTTTTTAATTAAGTTATATACATTGTTTGTTTCAGACATAATGCTGTTGCATACTTAAATAGACTACATTATAGTATAAACAACCTTTATATGCACTGGGAAACCAAAAAAAAAATTGTGCAGATACTTTATCAATAAAAAATTTAAATTTTTTGTTTTATATTTTAATTTTATCATTTGAAAAACCATAAAACTAGCTACTAGATTTGTTTTTGGATAGTCTCTTTTCTCAGTACTCCGTAGCACTTTAACGATACTCTTTAAATTATCTTTCTTTGCTGATGTACAGATTTTAATACATTACACTTTTCTTTATTATCCAACTTCCCATTAATTAGTCCTTTATTATATGTATAGTACAGAAAAAATTACTCGTTGGCACTTCCAGAGGTTAGGCTCTTACCCTTTCAGATACTGGTAGACAGAGCACTGTCTTCCTTGATGATTACATTTCAAATAGATGACTCCTAGGCCCTTGAGAAAGACATTTTCAAGCCGTAAATCTGGCAAAAAGCTGGGAGAAGATTTAAATCTCAAAAGGTGGAGAAAGTATTTAAAAGTTTTCTAAAGTAAATGCTGTCTATTCAAGCTGAGGGGCTTGTGTGGGTCAGTTATTTTAACTTTGTTTCATATTACAAGCAATATCCTTTACTGTGTTTTGCAAATTTTGTTTTCTTAAGGAGCAAAGAATTGCAGAATGGGGAAATCCATAAATACATGTGACCTCCCATAGAATTATTCAGGGTAGGTAACCTCAGTTTACTATTAAAAAGGTAATAGATTATCGGTAGCCTCCTGTGGAAGGTTTTGACAGAAAAAGTTTTACATTACTTTGTGACCATGGACAAATAATTTTAGCTCTTTGAATATTAATCTCTTTTAAATCCATAAAATGGAGATAATAATAGCTTCTCTATCAAATTTACTTGCCTCATAAGGTTAAAAAAATACATGGAAATGTTAGGTCATTTTTTTCAAAGCCTGGATAAACACCCTTTGCTGTCAATATGAGACCCAGAAATACTCATCTCTCAACACAGTATAAGATTCTTTTTTCTCACATAATAGTCACATTTCAGTCGTCCTAGGATAGGATTGTACAGTTCTCAACCTTTGGCTTCCATCTCGAAGTCTGAAGCAGCTGATTCAATTTTGTCATCACTAGGCAAGAAAGAGGGAAATGGGCAGGAGAATGCAGACACATTTCAGGATCTGAACTAGAATAAACACACATCATTTTTGCTCATCTCTCATTGGCCAGAAGTTAGTCAATAGACCCTTCAAGCTGTAAAAGAGAATGGGAAATGTAGGCTCTACGCAGTTATCTATCTGCTCAGCTGACACTCAAAAGTTCTGTTATTAAAGAAAGTAAAGTGGATAGGGGTAAACATCAGCAGAATCCAACTCAGGAATAAATGGAAAGAATGATCAAGACAACAGAAACTTTGTGAAAGGGACAAATTGGGTAGCATAAAGTAACTCAAGACAATGCAATAGGTTATTGAAGTATCAAAATTTAGTCAAATTGATAGCTAGTTCATTTTTAGAAAACAAAGCCTTCCTACTTTCTCCTCAGGCTTTTTAAAACAAAGTCTTTAAATGTCTGATATATAAAATTCTGTTGATGGTGTCCAAACAGCGGTTAGAAAATGATCTTACATTAAAAACCTATGTAGCCAACCAACTATTGTTCTAATGCTAAATATGTTTAATGGGTAAAAACGTTTGGTACATGGTCTGTGAACCTAGTAGCATCATTTCTCCCAGGATATTGCTGAGTTTTCAGAAAGCTCTCCATGTTATGTTTTAATTCTTGCAAATTGCTTGCCAATTTAATACAAGCTGCATCTAAACAGTAAGCAATTGCTTATGATAATGAGTGCAAACTAATTTGCTAGAATATGTTAATATTCACAAAGCAGTTTTATACTGCCTGCTGTTTCAAAAATACTGCTCTCTTGGTTAAATGTAGCTTTTAGACAGCGTTACTGTTAAACATCTGACTAAAATCATCATTTCAATAGCATCTACCCAAAAGTCATATGACTGTGACTTCAGTATTCCAAGGAAGGAAGAGAAAGTCATGTCATTCTTTGATAAATGATCTAGAAGATTTGAGAGCAAAAGGAATCACTCTTAATAATTAATTTTAATTAGTTAATGATAGTAATAAGCAGACTATAATGTGTTAAAAATGGCCTCTCTTCCTCATGAGTCATAAAACTTAATTTAAATGACTTTGAAAACAGATGGCATGCAAACTTTATTTGAATACAATAACCCATTTAAAATGAATTAAAATTTTTAAAATGACCCTAGAACTGGGAATTTTTAAGTTGGAAGCCTGCTTCACCTCTGAGTGTTCTATCCTTTCTGTTTTATAGGTTTTTCTCCACCATTTTCACTTCAGAGCTTAAGGACGTATGTTTCAAATGTGAGGTTATTTTGAGATTGGGGACCTGAGTGTTCAAGGATCTGATGTGCAAATTGGAACCACCTTGTAATTTTAGTCTAGAAAGATAGAATTTTTTGAACCAAATACAAAAGAAAAAAGATTTGACACTTACCTGCCCCATGTCTGATTTGGTACTTTAATCCGTGCTCTTGTGTTTCAATTATTTCAACTTCAAAAATGACTCTCATACATAGTTATAATCTTCACATGGGTGGTAAAATGTAAAATTCTCCATAGAGAACCTCTTTCTTTTCTTTTTCACTTGAAAATCCATTTCCTTTGTTAAATTTAATTGGCCAAAGAACTTCATGGGTTAAAAAATCTTATATCGTTGAGTTATAAATCTTACAGATACCCACAATTTCTTGTCAATGTAAGTGACCTAACTTTCCAGTTTTTTTTGTTTGTTTGTTTTTTATAACCGTTATTATAAACATATGTGGATAAGCCAGGAATGGTGACTTATACCTGTAATACCAGCACTTTCGTAGGCCAAGGTGGGTGGATCGCTTGAGCCCAGGAATTCAAGACTAGCCTAGGTAACATGGCAAAACCACATCTCAACAAAAAAATACAAAAATTAGCCAAGTGTGGTAGTGTGCGCCTGTAGACCCAGCTATCTGGGAGGCTGAGGTGGGAGGATCTCTTGAGTTCAGGAGGTCGAGCCTGCAGTGAACCACGATAACACCACTGCTTTCAAGCATGGGTGACAGAGCAGCAGAGCATGACAGTGTCTACAAAAAAAATAAATGTGGATAGATAAATCACAGAAATGGCTGAACTTTACTCTTACTGCCATCTTCATAGGCTGTTGGAGTAGGCTTGAGATAAGGAATGAGTAAACAAACAAACCAAAGTTATATTTTTTTATTTCTTTTGCTGTTACTGTTTCTACTAAGCATAAAACCACCACTTAAAAAATTGAGAAATGAACAAAGAGACAATGTACCAGAATCTTTGGGATGCAGCTAAAGCATTGTTAAGAGGGAAATTTAGAGCACTAAATACTCATATAAAAATGCTAGGAAGAGCTCAAATTGACACCCTAACATCACAACTAGAAGAACTAAAGAACCAAGAGCCAACAAACCCAAAAGGTAGCAGAAGACAAGAAATAACCAAGATCAAAGCAGAACTGAAGGAGCTAAAGACACAAAAAAACTCTTCAAAAAATCAATGAATCCAGGAGCTGGTCTTTTGAAAAAAAATAATAAGACAGATAGACTGATAGCTAGACTAATAAAAAAAAAGAGAAAATAATCAAATTGACACAATAAAAAATGATAAAGGGGATATCATCACTGACCCCACAGAAATACAACCAACCATCAGAGTATACTATAAACACCTCTATGCAAACAAACTAGAAAATCTAGAGAATATGGATAAATTCCTGGACACATACACCCTCCCAAGACTAAACCAGGAAGAAGTTGAATTCCCAAATAGACCAAAAACAGGTTCTGAAAGTAAGGCAGTAATAAATAGCCTACCAACCAAAAGAAGCCCAGGACCAGATGGAATTACAGCTGAATTCTCCTAGAGATACAGAGGGGAGCTGGTACCATTTCTTCTGAAATGATTCCAAACAATTGAAAAGGAGGGACTTCTCCCTAACTCATTTTATGGGGCCAGCATTATCCTGACATCAAAACCTACCAGAGATACAACAAAAAAAAAGAAAACTTCAGGTCAATATCCTGGATGAACACTGATGCAAAAATCCTCAATAAAATACTGGCAAACCAAAGGCAGCAGCACATCAAAAAGCTTATCCACCAGGATCAAGTCGGCTTTATCCCTGGGATGCAAGGTGAAATCAACATACACAAATCAATAAATGTAATTCATCACATAAAAAGAACTAAAGACAAAAACTATGTGATTATCTCAATAGACGCAGAAAAAGCTTTTGATAAAATTCAGCATCCCTTTACGTTAAAAACTCTCAATAAACTAGGTGTTAATGTAACATATCTCAAAATCATAAGAGCCATTTATGATAAATGCACAGCAAATCTTATACAGAATGGGAAAAAGCTGGAAGAATTCTTCTTGAAAACTGACACAAGACAAAGATGCCCTCTCTCACAACTTCCAATCAACATTGTATTGGAATTTCTGGTCAGTGCAAACGAGCAAGAGAAAGAAATAAGGGGTATTCAAATAGGAAGAAAGGAAGTTAAACTGTCTCTGTTTGCAGACGACATGATCCTATATTTAGAAAACCCCCATGTCTCAGCCCAAAATCTTCTTAAGCTGATAAACAACTTCAGCAAAGTCTCAAGATACAAAATCAATGTGCAGAAATCAGAAACATTCCTATACACCACCAATAGACAAGGAGAGAGTCAAATCGTGAATGAACTCCCATTCACAATTACTACAAAAACAATAAAATACCTAGGAATACAGCTAAAGAGGGAAGTGAAGGACCTCTTCAAGGGGAACTACAAACCATTGCTCAAGAAAACAAGAAAGGACACAAACAAATGAAAAAGCATTCCATGCTCATGGATAGGAAGAATCAATATCATGAAAATGGCCATACTGCCCAAAGCAATTTATAGTTTAAATACTATTCCCATTAAACTACCATTGACATTCTTTACAGAATTAGAAAAAACCATTTTAAAATTCATATGGAACCAAAAAAGAATCTGTATAGCTAAGACAATCCTAAATGAAGAGAATAAACCTGGAGGCATCACGTTACCTGACTTTAAACTATACTACAAGGCTACAGTAACCAAACAGCATGGCACACACAGACACATAGACTAATGGAACAGTTTAGAGATCTCAGAAATAAGACTGCACATCTACAACCACCTGATCTTCGACAAACCTGACAAAAAGATGCAATGGGGAAAGGATTCCCTAATTAATAAATGGTGTTGGGAAAACTGGCTAGCCATATACAGAAAATGGAAACTGGACCCCGTACTTACACCTTATACAAAAATTAACTCAAGATGGATTAAAGATATAAATGTGCTGGACGCAGTGGCTCACACCTGTAATCTCAGCACTTTGGGAGGCAGAGGTGGGTGGATCACCTGAGGTCAGGAGTTTGAGACCAGCCTGGCTAACATGGCAAAACCCTGTCTCTACTAAAAGTACAAAAATTAGCTGAGTGTGGTGGCACATGCCTGTATTCCCAGTTTCTTGGGAGGCTGAGGCAGGAGAATCACTTGAACCCAAGAGACAGAGGTTGCAGTGAGCCAAGATCACGCACTGCATTCCAGCCTGGGTGATAGAGGGATACTCTGTCTCAAAAAAAAAAAAAAAAAAAGAAAAGAAAAAAGAAAAAAAAAAAAGGACAAAATGTATTTAAAATATAAAATTTTAAAAAAGTTAAAAAAAAAAAAGACTTAAATGTAAAACCCAAAACTGTAAAAACCCTAGAAGAAAATCTAAGCAATACCATTCAGGACATAGGCATAGGTAAAGATTTCATGACAAAAACATAAAAAGAAATGGCAACAATAGCAAACATTGACAAATGGGATCTAATTAAACTAAAGAGCTTCTGCACAGCAAAAGAAACTATCATCAGAGTGAACAGACAACCTGCAGAATAGGAGAAAACTTTTGCAATCTATCCATCTGACAAAGGTCTAATATCCAGAATCTACAAGGAACCTGGGCAAATTTACAAAAACAAACAAACAAAAAAACATTAAAAACTGGGCAAAGGGCATTAACAGACATTTGTCAAAAGAAAACATTTATGCTGCCAACAATCATATGAAAAAACGTTCAACATCACTGATCATTAGAGAAATGTGAACCAAAACCACAATCGTATACTATCGCACAGCAGTCAGAATGGTGATTATTAAAGAGTCAAGAAACAGCAGATGCTGGCCAGGCTCTGGAGAAAGAGGAATGCTTTTACACTGTTGGTGGGAATGTAAATTAGTTCAACCAGTGTGGAAGACAGTGTGCCAATTCCTCAAAGACCTAGAACCAGAAATACCATTTGACCCAGCAATCCTACTACTGGGTATATACCCAAAGAACAATAAATCATTCTATTATAAAGATACACGTACACTTAACGTTAATTGCAGCACTATTCACAACAGCAAAGACATGGAACCACTCCAAATGCCCATCAATGATAGACCGGATAAAGAAAATGTGATACATTACACTATGGAATACTATGTAGCCATAAAAAGGACTGAGATCGTGTCTTCTGCAGAGACATGGATGGAGCTGGAAGCCATTATCCTCAGCAAACTAATGCAGGAACAGAAAACCAAACAGTGCACGTTCTCAGTTATAAGTGGGAGCTGAACAATGAGAACACATGGACACAGGAAGGGGAGCTCACCACAGTGGTGCCTGTCAGGGAGCCAGGGGGAGAGAGAGCATCAGGATGAATGCTAACACATGTGGGGCTCAATACCTAGGTGATGGGCTAATAGATGCATCTATTACATATTGTATTACATATGTAATACAATATACAATTACATATGTAATACATATACAACATGTAATAAATTTATTACATATACAATATGTAATATTACACATATGCAATGTGTAATAAATTTATTACATATGCAATGTGTAATAAATTTATTACATATGCCATATGTAATAAATTTATTACATATGCAATGTGTAATAAATATACAATTACATATGTAATACAATATCTATTACATAGGTAAATGGCACACATGTACCTATGTAATAAACCTGCACGTACTGCACATGTATCCCGGTACTTAAATTTAAATTTTGAAAAAATGAGAAATGATTTTATTTCTCATAAAGATAGAATGACACAATTTATGATAAATAGCAAAATATCACCAAGACACTTACTAAGTGCAGTCTTTCTTATGACATTAATATTACATTTTTCTACTTTTGTGAATTTATGTGACTCCTTGTTAAAGGAAATTTGCATTTCATAGAATTTTTAATAAACTAAGATACTAGAACTTATCTAATCTCTTTTTAACACTGACCTTGAATAGTCCTAATTTCTACTATGTGATTTGTGCTCTGTATTTATCTGGAGATTTAATTCAAGAGACAAAGAGATAAGACATAGTGGTATTTAAAAATGCATCAGCTTCCGCTAAAAAAAAAAAATATTAAAAAGTGACTTTCCATTTATATAAGTGGATCTACAACCTACTCCTGAAAACCAAATTTTGTGCCTTTTTGCCTTTCCTCATCAAAATCCTGCCAATAAAATTTGCTCTTATCTTTTCAGAGCCATATTAAATTTTATCTTCTATGAAAATAATTTGGGAGTATTTGGGAGACAAGCAAATTCTCCAGTTTGCTTGAAGTACAGGGTTGGTTTGTACATAAGGTAGTCCAAGTTACCATAAATTCTTAATTTGGGAGACAGTCACTTAATCATTGAAGGTCTTTGAATAGAGAAGCAATTAGCAATACTATTTCAAAAAATAAACTGATGTTAATTTATAAAAGAGATTTAAATTAAGAGGTAAGAAGGTAGCAGGTCAGTAAAGCAAGTCAGTCAGTAAAGTATTTATTAGAAAAGTTATTTATTTATTTTTAACTTGATGCGGATGGTATTAAGAATGGAAATATGAAAGAGAAATTCAAAAATGAAATCTGGGCCAGGCACGGTGGCTCACGCCTGTAATCCCAACACTTTGGGTGGCCAAGACGGGCGGATCACCTGAGGTCAGGAGTTTGAGACAAGCCTGGCCAACATGGTGAAACCCCATCTCTACTAAAAATATAAAAATTTGACAGCCATAGTGGCGCGTATCTATGATCCCAGCTACTTGGGAGGCTGAGGCAGGAGAATAGCTTGAACCCGGGAGGCAGAGTTTGCAGTGAGCTGAGATCACACCATTGCACTCCAGCCTTGACAACAGAGTGCGACGCCATCTCAAAAAAAAAAAAAGAAAGGAAAGAAATGACATGTGTTTGGATGGGTCATGATAGTTGAGAAAAAGCTGGATTTCAGAGCTATGTCACACCTTTTTATCATCATCAGGATCTAGCATGGTGCTTTATACATAGTAAATGCTTAATTAGTATTTATTGAGTATACAGATGTTTTTATTCTTAAATTATACTATTTTATTGCCTTTGTATTCTGTCTCCAGCAATATATTTCTGCTGTTGTCTCCGCATTGTTTTTTGTTGATTTGTTTGTTTGTGTCAAAATGCCCCACTCATTAATTTGAGTTAGAGTTTTTCCCTGCCACCTCTCTAAGCCATCTGGTTTTTAAACTTTCAAGAAATCTAAAAGTGATCTCTCATAGGATTTTTTTGTCTTGTTTTATTAGAAGAGATATGAGTCCTTCCTCTATAATTATCACCATCCCCTGCCTTTTGAATCATCTTTTTCATCATAACCACAATATTTCATTCTTTTTTTTTTTTTAAGAAAGGGTCTCACTTTGTTGTCCAGGGTGGAATGCAGTGATGTGATCACAACTCACTGCAGCCTTAAACTCCTGGGCTCAAGTGATCCTCCAACTTCAGCCTCCCAAGTAGCTAGGACTACAGATGTGTGCCACCACACCCAGCTAATTAAAAAAAAAAAAAAAAAAGTTTGTAAAGACAGGATCTTGCTATGTTGCCCAGGCTAGTCTCAAACTCCTGGCCTCAAGGAATCCTTCTGCCTTGGCCTCCCAAAGTGCTGGGATTACAGGTGTGAGTCACCATACCCAGCCCAAAACGTATGCCAATTTCTACACATACAAGTATTTGTTTACACTAGTTTCCCTCTTAGATTCCAAACTTAGGGAAGGAATTAGCTCACACTAATGTGAAGAAGTTCTAATTACAAGACAGGAAAAATGTATTCTGACTTAAAACTATGTATCTACATGGTTTTAAGACTGGAAAACATTTCATAAGAATTTCAATGATATTTACAATGACATTATGATAAAAGAATTAAATGAATGAATAAGTTGTCTGTCTTTTTGGGTGAACTGATCCCAGAGTTGACTACTCTACTTAGGCAATTTCTATTTTAACTTGCATTTTTAGAATATGTTCATTTTAAAGACTTAATAATGATTTATTTACAAAGAGCTCTGCGTTAAGCAAATTTATTAGGTAGAACAAAAGTTAAATGTCTTCTGCCCACCTCTAAATGCTCTCCTGTTTTTATAGCCAAACAAAATCTCAAACTCTACTTCATTTCAAGAGGTAGGTGTTTCTCAAGCTACCTCTCTTGCATAAATTCCCATGGCCAAGAATCTTATTCAGGATTCTAAATTGTACACTATAGCTCACACCCAGAATCCCAGCACTTCAGAGGCCAAGGCAGAAAGATCTATTGAGGCCAGAAGTTTGAAACCAACCTGGGAAACATAGTGAGACCTTATCTCTAAGAAAATATTAAAAAATTCGCCAAGTATGGTGGCCATGTGCCTGAAGCCCCAGCTACTCAGGAGGCTGAGATGGGAGGATTGCTTGAGCCCAGGTGTTTGAGGCTGCAAATCAGCTATGTTTGAGCCACTGAACTCCAGCCTATGTGACAGAATGAGACTCTGTCTCAATAAAAAAGAGAGAGATTCTAAATTGCTCTTCATGACTAATATATTTATCTTTAAAAATTATTTTGAAATTTTAGATTTACAAAAAAGTTATAAAAAATTAAAAGAGCCTTCTTGTGTCTTCACTTAGCTCCCACAAATGTTAACATCTCATATATCCAGAGTACAATGATTAAAACCAGGAAATTAACATTAATGTAGTATTATTAAGTAAGAGTCAGACCTTAATCAAACCTTGCCAGTTGTCCCACTAATGCCCTCTTCTGTGGTCCACTATCAAAGCCAGGATCTTGCATTTCATCAAGTTGTCATATCTTCTTAGTTTTCTCTAATCTAGGACAGTTCCTTAGTCTTTCTCTGTTTCCTGCCCTCGACTCTTGATGAGTGCTGCCAGTTATTTTCTAGAATGTCCTTCAATTTGGGTTTGTTAGATGTTTTCTTATGATTAGATTGAGACTATGCATTTTTGGAAAACTAAAACTGAGACTGTGAATTTTTGCCAAAAATAGCACAGAATGTTGCAGTGTCCTCAGTGTACCATATTTGGAGAACCTGAATTTGATATGTCTCATTACTGGTGATGCTAGCTTTGATCACCTGGTTAAGGTGCTATCTGTCAGATTTCTCTGAGTATTAATAAATCATTAAAGCCTGAGGACTAGCAAGGTATATCCAGCTTTTCCCTGTAAAATATGCAGAATTTTTGGCTATGCTATTCAAGTGAACTGTGAGATCTGGTGCTCCTTTTCATGTGATCACCATTACCAGGTTGAGGAGTCCCATGTCTCTTCATAATACTTATTTCTTACCCAGGTATAACTAAGTCGACCATGTTTTTTCTTATCAGAATAATTTAGGCAATCTGTGTCCTTATCTGAGATTGTTGTATTAGGTGAAATCATTCCAATTTCTTATATAGCTGCAGATACTCCATCATGCTGATGGATGTAGGCATGGGATGGATCACATAAATAAATCTTTCCTATGCTTGTTTCAGAATCAGGAGTCTTATGGTATTCATCATTGAATCAGTGGTCCTGACTTAGCTTGAGGAGTGTATTAGTCATTATTAATAATTAGTAAGTGAATAAAAGCACATAATTTTTTATAAGGATACCTAGAATTAAAGCAAGATCCCTTTCTTCAGGATGCATACTTTTTAAAATGGATATTTCAATAAAAGACAATTCTCATATATTATAATAGTTCAAAAATTAAAAATAAGTTAGTGGATGTTGAAAGGCGAGAATTAACCTTGGCTGGAATGAATGTGGAAAGCATGACAAAAGAAATCAAGGTGCAGCAGAGAAGCCTAAACCAGCAGAAGTAAAAGTGACTTTGAGAGGAGAATGTGTATTGCATTTGTGAATGCCTAGGTAAATCCAGTTAGAGCTTAGTCTGAGATAATTTCTGAGTCAAAAACTAATATTCCCTTCTGTTCCAGTCCAAAATAATTAGTAAATGGTTTTGACGAGGGCCTAGTCAGGTAAAGAATGACTTAAGTATAGCAGATAGGCAGGAAGAAGATAAATGAGTAGAACTAACATTAGGAAATAAACAAAAGTTAAGGTTCTGGTTTTAGCCTAAAATTACTACAAATTTTATTGTTTGCATGGTCCCTTCTATTTAACTATGCGATGCAAATAATTCAAAATAAATACCTATTCTTTTGTATTAAGGATTTAATTCCATTGCTAAGGACAAAAAGAAGTGTCACTGCCAAAAAGTCATAAAGCCTTTCTGGTATAGAGTAAAAGTGACTGTGGTAAAAATAAGGAAAATTTGTCTTCTGTAGCTTTGGTCCACAATTTAGAAGCTTCAGAATAAGCCAAAGGCTTGGATGGCTGCTTAGAGAGGATGTTTACAATAAAGCATTGCAGATACCTCACACCTTTTAAAGATTCAGGATAGACTCTAAAAATGTCAGAATGTGAGTGAATCATTTCTGTTAAGTGTCATTATAGAAACTTTCCCCAAATCAGACTAGGGAAGCATCATTAGAAAAACTCTAAAATGATTGAAATGAGACCTTGATTTGTGAATTATAATTTATTTTTCTAAATAAGAATTAGTCATTTGAGCTTAGCTTTTTGTTGTATAGAAAAAAAAAATCACTAAGAATAGAGTTAAGTACAAGCCTGCACCCATCTGTTTGACATTGAGAAGACACTTGGTTTCTCTGTGCCTCAGTTTTGTTATTTGTAAATTGGAAAATTTACTCACTTTTCTCCAAGAGTATTTCGGCAGTAAGTTCTATGTTTATGTCATTTTTTTTTTTAAACTGGACATTTTTTAGACCATAATTATAGTAAAGAAAATTCTTGACTCTTGAATCCTAATGAAAGCCATTTTCACAATTAACCTTTGAAATAAGTAAGTTAAAGGACATTGCTAGGCAACTACAACTTCTACCGACCAGCTAATAATTTTAAGAGTTTACTGGGAACATGCACACTTAGGTTATGCTCTTCAAAATAGATTTTTCTTAAAGTTCCTGATGATGTGATTCTTTTTCTTCCTATCCCTGCTGCCTATAGCTTTAATACAAATTGATTACTGAGTTACTTGCCAGAGACTTTTTAATAAAGTTCACCTACTGCTGGAGGGAGCCTAGTTTCAGAAGGGAAGACATAAGCATTTGATGTTCTTAGGATTATTGGTTGTGGGATTACTTTGCTTTGTTTTATTTTTAATTCTAGATCACTTTGCTGTCTTTATGGAATTTTTTCTGATCTGATTGGCAAAAGTTCTACTACTTACCTGTTTTTCTACTCAGCCAGGTAACCTGGACCAAGAGCCTTTTAAGCAGTTCCCAGGACTTTGAATTTGATCTCAAAACAAGTTTGTCTCTCTGGGCAGCTCAAACTATTGAACTCAACTGTTCCTGGAGGGGATACTTCTAAATGACACATTTGCCAGGAAAATAATAAGTAGATTGTAAAAGAAAATATATTGCAAAGATACCACTAAGTGGACCACTTATTGCATACATTTTTAAAAGTAGTGTTCATTGGGTTGAACATTATTTCAAACTACTCAACTATTTACATGACTTTGACCTAAAAGAAAATACATATACACACATAGATTTTTCTTATCATTTTTTTCTGATAATCTTAGGTTTTCATTAATCAGTGCTTTTAATATTATCACCTTCTTAAAAAGCAGTTTAAAAATCCAAAATAGATGATAACATGGTTGAATAACATATATTTGTCAAATATTTGACAAATATTCATACATTTGTCATTTCTTTATGGTTAGAAAATTCAAATCCTCTCTTCTAGCCATTTTGAAATTTACAATACAATAATATTAACCATAGTAACCCTACTGTGCAACAGAACACCACCATTTTTCTGACATCTCACACAAACTATTTTGCCCTAATATTTACCTTTAATGAACAGATCCTATCTGCTGAAGAGAAAAGGCTGTTTCTGAATTTATATTCTTAGCTCCTTTCACACAGTTGGCACTTATCAGCAAATCAAGAGATAGGAAGGCTTAGAAATGTTTTCTATGTTAGTTAATGCCCTTATAATGTCAGAAAAAAAAGAGAATAACTTATTCAAATCAGCACAATCTCTATCAATCATTGATCATTGATTATGTAGAGTCATAGTTTTATACGACACCAATGAACATCATTAACATCTCATTCTATATGAATGGTGCATATTTGATTGTCCAGTGTGCAGTCTTTGCTGCTATTGGTGGTGTTTCTGAATGAATGTCTAGGATATTGACAAGATAGGTCAGCCATGGATCTATTTACATTTTAAATAATTATTTCACTTATTAGAGTGGTATACACTTGTTTTTAGAAGAATGAATACTTTATTTTCATGTACCATACTCTTTTTATAAACATCAAAATGTGATAAAATGTATTTATGAATATATAATTCTTTCTAAGATATAGCAATTTTATTAGAGAATATAGAAAATGTAGAACATTTATTAGAAAAACATTTTTATTAGAGAAAAGTTTTGGGCCAATAGGTAGAGGTAAATTCATTTTTTATTGAAGCGCATAATTACTATTGAAATTATATTTGAGAGAAATGATTCTTGACCTCATTGGAATCACAGTAACTTTTAGTTATTTCATTTTCTCAATTGTTTTATTTTGATTAAAATTTCTTGTTGAGTAAACACACACAATTTTTTTTTAAATGGTATCTTGGCTGGGCTAGAGCCTAATCTCAGATGGGCTGGCTTATTGAAGAGGAATACTCTTCTGCTTTCAGACTTCCAATGTCTACCGTGGAGTCTAGCTGGTTCACCCTCCTCTGATCCCCTTAAAAATTTGGAAAACCTTAATTGTTAACACCTAATGAGTCCTCCTGGATACTGGAGGTATGACAGTGTCTGATTTGCAAGAGTTCAAGAATCTTTTGGATTAACTTGAACCAAATTTATGATTGGTGTTTGGTGGAATAGTGTGTGGACAGTGATCCTAGACAGTATCACTTTCATGAAATTCCAATGCAAGAAAATAGTGTGCTCACAAGTTTGAGTCTCCCTGTCTTGCTCAGTTTGCATTTGACTTAATAAGTAGTCAACAACGTATTTTTTAAAATTTAATAACTTAATTTTATTTAATAAAAAATTAATAATTAAAAAATGCTTTAGCCTAGAGTTTTGACAGAACATACAATTTGCTATATATGACAAACTTCCCATTGTTCTCTTTTTTCAAATTTATTTATTGTGTTTTGTTTTTATTGACATGTTATAATTGTACACACTTATAGTGATGTTTTAATACATATATATGTTGTGTAAAAATCAAATCGGTATGTTTAGCATATTCATCATCTCATATATTTATCATTTCTTTGTTGTTAGATCATTCAGATCCTCTCTCCTAGCTATTTTGAAATTTACAATATAATAATATTAACCATAGTCACCCTACTGTGCAACAGAACACCAGAACTCATTCTTCCTATCTAACCGTAACTTTGTATCTGTTGACCTATGTTGCTGTCTTGAATATCATCCTTAACTATTTCCATAAAGCTTTCATTATTTGGGAATTATCTAAATTCTTCTGGACATTTTTTGTTTCGACCTGATTGAGAATATGGGACCTGTGCCTAAACCATTTCTGTGACATGTCATGTTTCTTGCCTTCTTTCATTTATAAAGAGCATATGCATTCTCTTTCTCAAAGATGTGATTAAAAATCTGTCTAATTCTCCAATCTCTTTAGCTAGTTATAACACATTTGCCAATTCTGTTGTCTGCCCCTCCCACCAGAAGTCTTAATTTATGATATATAGTCCATATTTTCTTTTTCTTTTCCTGGCATCTTTGTCTTTGCACCCTTACATGCATATGTAACATTGAGGGCTGTGCCTTACTTCTCAATATTAGTAATTATTGTAATTAATTTTTAAATCTAGAAGTGGTTACATATTATAGGTAGAAACTCATTACTTGATTCCATTAACTTCTCCTAAGATGTTCACTTTTTCTGAATTTTTAATATGCCTATATGAAATTTTAGTAATTAGGAACCTATAGTGCTCAGCTTCATGAAATAATTCCTTATGATTCTACAAAGAACTTACAATAATTCAGAAGGAAAATAAAGTGTATTTACTTGTTATTGTTTTAGTGATTGTTAAGATTCTGTTTCATCAGTTTAGAAATGTTGCCCTGATCTAAAACTCTTTTTGCATACAATGTGGTCTTCTCTGTGCTTTTGCTTTTTATGAACCTTAAGCCAAAGAATTCCTCCATATAGGTAGAAATTCTCCAGAAAATTTCAAATTAACAACAGCATCTGGAAAAGGTTGTAGAAAGAATAAAGGTTCCCCTTACTTACAAATGCTTTACTTTTAATATTCATCTGGGTACCTGGCTTTCACTGTAAACTTTCACTGAAGGAAGTGTTATATTCCTGTTACATTTATTAATAGAAACATAATTGCCTGAATGTTTCGTGTTGGCTACAAGATGACATTTGAAGAATTATAGGCTTTCAAAAAGTAACCTTTTATTCATATACTTATGTTATGAGTTAGAAGCTAATCTACTCCGAAGTTAATTATATTATTGTTCATGTAGCAAGGATCCAGAGCAACCAATAATTGAGCAGACCTGTACATGCTGATTGGTTTTCTTTTTCAGAAAGTTTCAATCTATGTAAGGGAATATGTTAGCCTTTGCAGAATTGACGTGAGGCTGAAGTGGGCACACTTAGGCAAGGGACAGTTGGCAAGAAAGAACAAGAAGGGAGAGAGCCCTATATGTAAATAGCATGTTCAATAAGATCTAAAAATATTCCCTGATTATAACATCACAGGCAGTTTAAACAAGAGATACGGGAGCCCATGTATATTTTTTACAAACATTTATTGGAGTGTAAAGTATGTTGACATTGCTAAATTTGTGTCTGATAGAGCCAGCTTTGTTAATGAATTTAGAGTGAGTAATAGAGGCTTGCTGCACAGCTTAAATGTGGAGATTGCTGAAAACCACTTTAAATTTCAGTCATTCATACATTCAGCGATCTGATGGATGTCAAGGTTAATTTGCAGTAAATCCATTAGTAGTCATGGTACTGATGTGGTAGTGCTTGCCATATAGAAACATGCATAAATAATAAAGGTGACACATTCCTCTATGTTCCTCTCTATATTGGAACTGTGATTAAGATGTACTGCCACTGCATATTTAACTCACTTATATAGTAAAATAAAACATGTTTCTGTAAAGATAAAATTTTTAAAAAGCTAGCTGGCAGGGTTTTTTGGTAAGTTTGGTCTTTATTTAATGGTCAAGTGATTTTTTTTTTTGCATTATGCTATAAATCTTACTATGCTAGATGTTTTATGGTGATGAGCTAATATTCTTTTTCTCATGAAAGCTCCCATGTGATACAATTTAATATTCCTTCCATTGTCAACTATTACTGAACATAAATAATGATATAATGAGTTTACATAAAAGTCCTAATCTGTGCTACAAAATATTGAAAATATTAATAAAAATTACGAGGTAGGAATGTCATTTTTGAAAGTCACTTGATTTGGACATAACTTTGAAATATGTCCAACTTTTCTGAAGGCTTTCATATTAAAATAAAACAATGTTACAGTGTTCATTATTTTATATTTTTACAGCACACACAACTGCCCTCACACATGACACCTATTCTCTCTAAAATTTATTAGGCATTTATCACATACTAGGAAATGGACTAAATGTTACTTTGTAATATCTCATGTAATTCTGATAGAGCTCTATAAGATAGTGTTGCTATCCCCATCTTTTTTCAAATAGGAATCCCAATACAGAATAAATGGCTACCAAGGTCACATAGCTAGTAAATGACACAGTTGGAATTTGAACCCAGATCTCTCTGAGTCTAGAGTTTACATTCTTAATCTCTAAGCTATTCTGCTTCAGTAAGTACATCATGTCCTTGGTTCAGAAAGATGTGTGTTAAAGGAGGTAGATTTTGAAACTTTAAGCCATCTAACCCACTATATTTGATTATGAGAGTAATTTTCTAGCTCAGTGAAAAGAGGGCTTTAAGAATATAGGAGATTTTGTAAAGTTTGATGCAAAGTTAATTTTTTAAAAAAAATCCAGAGTGCTTATAGAAGTATGTAGAAGAGAGCTGAGGAAGGACTGGATATCTAATTGTCTCGCTTATTATAAAATTGTGCTGATGAGTACAATACAATGCACTACTGTGCATACAGAAGAAAAACTAAGAAAGACTGCTCTCAGGATATATCTGGTGGGAAAAAAGGAAACTAGAAATAATGGCAATGTTTGACAAACAGTAGTTGCGATTTTTTTGCTTTGTTTTGGTGAAACCTAAAAAACTGTAAAGTCATTCTAAACAAGACAGATTAGCTAATCTCATTCTAGTCATCAAGTTTTAGATTCATTGAAAAAGGTTAAAATCTGAGAAGAAATCAAATCTTGAGTAATGGTATTTGTATTGTGACACTTATCTTACTGAAAGTGTAAAACTTCAAATTATTACCCACAAGTTCTATAATTGTGCTAGAAACTTTCATAGTTCCATAGGTTTGGGAAGTGTACCCCAACTAAATGTTAATCTACATATATTAAATGTTCTGTCATTTTACATTTAGATGTTATTTTTCTCTTTTTAAAAGTATTGTGAGGTGAGAAGAAAGTATATGATAATGAAGAGCAAATGTCACTTTATGGATATAAGACATTAGAATATGATAACAGTTGGCCTTGATAAATTCAGACTGACATCCAATTAACTTTTTCTTGACTGCCTGGTTATGATAACAGAAATATTTCTGTCATAAATATATATATATATATATATATATATATATATATATATATATATATATATATACTGGAATAGGTATCAGGATATGGGTTTTATACCAACTCTGCCAATTAACCAAGTTTGCAACTTTAGATAGCACGTTAATCTTTATGACTAAATTTCCTCAGATATAGCATGGAAGTAATGTCTGCCCTATGTTCCATAATAAGTAGATAAGATTTTTTTTAATTGTGAAAGTGATGTTTAAAGTTAAAAATTAATATGCAATGTTGTTTTATAATGCTTACCTCACACTTATATAATTCTTAAACCATCTGAATTCTTAGATATGTGTTGTTTTATATCATTAAATAGCATCTCTAGTTTTGAATATTTTTCTTATTTCACATAATGTATATAGTCATTAGAGAACAAAGCCAATTTAAAAAAGGAAAAAAATTAATTATTAAGTATCAGCACTCAGAGATAACCACTACATCCTCCTTTTAAAGCCATCTCCACTTTTTTATGTTCTTGTCCTATTTTTATCAACAATGGGCTTCACTAGAAAAGTTAATACTTAATCATTTGCAAAAATTACCAGGCAGAAAAATATTTCTCAAATAGTGTTTGCCTATAAAGATTATGATGAACAAGCTTCTGAGGATGTAGAACATAAGTGGCTCAGGAAAGCCCTGGGATTTCTGATCTACACTCTGTATATTCTGAATTTTCTTTGTGCACTGACTGGTGCTTTTGAAATATGGCTTGCCTTTTCTCTCTTGAAAGAGATAAACTGTTTTCATGCATTGGTATCTGCAAAATTAATAGAGAAGGGTACAGCCTCTATAGCTTTGCATTTTAACAGTATTCATGTTTATCACTTTTGCATTCAATTTTCTCCTAACATGTTTCTTGGAAGAGGTCTATATACCAAGTCCTATTTAAGCATCAGGTACAATAGGCATATTGCAGAGGTCTTTGGAATTTCTCAAAGGCCTGTGGAAATGTCTGTAACAGAAAACAAAGAAGAGTTGCTTCCAAAAATGGCCACAAAATCAATATTGTCAGCTGTTTAATTAAATGTACACAAATGTGATAGTAGGTCAACTCCATTTAACTGGTAAACTTGGTAATCATGGCAATTCAATGTATAGTTTTCTTCAAAACATACTGCTGTACACACAACTTTTACACATAAATGTTACTCTTGGTACAAGCTATTTTTCTATAAATACAAGAAGTTTTGTGGCCTAAGTTTTCATATTTTCTCTTATTATGTATAATCATGTATATATGATCAAATCATATATGATCTGCTGTCTGCAAGTTAGAGAACCAGAAAAGCTAGGGGTATCGATTATGGGACTGACAACTGGAGAAACAACGATGTAGATTTTAGTCCAGGTTTGAAGGCATGAGAACAAGAAGCTGCAAAGGCAGGAAAACAACAATGTCCCATTTTAAGCAGTCAGAAGAAGACAGAGGGAAAATCCAATCTTTTTTCTTTCTTTTTTGGTTCTATTCAGGACCTCAAAATAATAGAACCAAAATGGGTGGCCAATGAATGATGCATTGAGGTAAGACTAGTGCACCAAATGCTCTATTAGTCCATTTTCACACTGCTATAAAGAACTTCCCTGAGACTGGGTAATTGATAAAGAAAAGAGGTTTAATTGACTCACAGTTCTGTGTGGCTGAGGAGGCCTCAGGAAACTTACAGTCATGGTAGAAGGGGAAGCAGGCACCTTCTTCACAAGGCAGCAGGAGAGACAGAAGTGTGTGTAGGAGGAAATGTCAAACACTTATAAAACCATCAGATCTTGTTAGAACTCACTATCATGAGAACAGCATGGGCAAAGCCACTCCATGATCCCATCACCTTCCACCAGGCCCTGCCCTCAACATATGGGGTTTATGGGGTTTACCATTTCAGATGAGATTTGAGTGGGGACACAGAGCCAAACCATATCAAATGCTGAATAAATTTGTTTGAAAAAGACTCTTTTCATTTAAGCTGGATAATTTACTGACCAGACAACCATAAGGTAAAATTTGAACACTCACAGAATGAGTCCGTGACATTATTCTCAGTGCTATAAGGCTTGTATTCACCTTGGGGTGGCAGAGGATGTGGGTCTTTTTATGATTCTGAATAGTTTGACAGCTACTAGATGTTGCTTGTTAAACAAAACCTGACTTCTAGGGATGACATCTATTATCTGTATTTTCTTGACATGGCTACTGGGGCTTGTGGCTATTCATCCATTAGTTATCTGTCACATGTAAGTAGATCCTTTTTCCATAAAAGTTACATTCCTAGCACATTTGTTGCGACTTTCTCCACTGTGCTGTATGACCCTGTCACATCTGCATGCAGCTCCTATTTCAATACCAAGTTGATGTGTGCTGCTGTTGCTTTTTGGAAGCATCCAGTCAATGTTTTCTACTAAACTATTTCTTAAAAACTGGCAGGAAGAGATAATGCCTCATTACATTCCGTTCTTGTCCAACTCAATGGAAAACACAATAACCTACTATTTGTTCTGAAACACCTACTGGTAAATTGAATCAGTGTATTAAAAACTGAGCTACCTCTCCATTTCTTTTAAAACAACTTGGTCCACTTTCTTGAGCACATTTGATTGAAATCTATGATTTACTTTGCCATAGTTTTGTGTGTAGAGTTGATACTTTACTGATATATCAATATAACATGCCTTGCTAATGTGCAGACTTGATGTATTTGGACTAATTGGTTTTGGTTTTTGTTTTCCAGCTGGGACGACATATATCTTTAGCAAAGGTGGTGGACAAATCACGTATAAGTGGCCTCCTAATGACCGACCCAGTACACGAGCAGACAGACTGGCCATAGGTTTTAGCACTGTTCAGAAAGAAGCCGTATTGGTGCGAGTGGACAGTTCTTCAGGCTTGGGTGACTACCTAGAACTGCATATAGTAAGTACTTTTTGCATAAGATTCAGCTTTTACTTTTTACTGTTAACTTTTTGTAAAGAATTTATAATTTTGCTTCTTGGATGCTTCCTTCCCCCAGAAACCAGTACTTTGTTATAGGAAATATGAATACAATCTAGAGGAAATAAGACCATATACCTATTGCTGTAGTTAATCGCGTTCTTTACAATGCAAACTTTTTTTTTTTTTTTTTGGAGTGTGAATTCCTCTTAATTCTGTGTTCAAAATAATTTTTAAAAAAATTTTGGAGTGATTTTAGTGTCTTTAGGCAGACTTGCCAAATGAATAAAATAAGTTATTGCCTAGTAGATACCACACCATCTGGCTGGAAGCAGGAGGTTGTAATACTGGTGACATCCAAAGATCTGGATTCTGTCTTTATTTCTTTGCTCACTAGAGAAAGTACTTATCTGAAGCTACATGAAATAAAAGGAACGAAAGTATACTTTAAGGATACTTGGGGATGTGAAACAAGATGGCAAAAAGATTGTTTCTGTGCCATTTTGTACTCATTTTGATACGTGTCAGGAAAATACATTTTAATTCATAATTACCACTTACATCCTGGGCCCATTCTCTTTTCTCTAAAGTTGTAAGCCTCCCACAGTAATTTACTCAGCATATAATAGATAGCAAAGAATAGTCATGAATGAAAAACTTCATTTTCCTTTGAAAGTTGCCATAATTAACTTTAGGGTTCAGGGGCACTTATTTCTCTGCATTTTAAAAATTATTAATGAGTATGTTTGCAACTCTTTAAATCTTCATTTTCTTGCATTATTTGTAAAGAAGCACAGTGTCTTTTATTAAGAGATATGAATATTTTATTGATATATCCAAAAAATCGTAGTGTGTCACATATTCAAAAACTTTTCTAAAGGGTTCTTATTATCATAGTTCTTGGTCTAAAGTCTATCTTTTGGAAGATTTCAGAAGAAACAGGTAAGTCTCCCCATCCTCTTTTTTATCCTTGAGGTTCTGTTTATTTCCCATGCATTAAGCGACCATGGAAGTTTGTTCTATTTTGTTTTGTCTTTCCCTATAAGTTCTCCTTCTATCAGTGCTCACTCTCCAAAGGACATTTGATTAGGTCATCATGTTCTTTCCTGTTAGAAAGTGGTCATCGGGTACCAGTTCTAAAATAATTAAGAAAAACATGAAACACCAAAGTACATTAGCACAAACTTTTACAAGTTTTTAATTCTCTGTTTTTATTAAACTATTTTCTTAATCTTAATTTTGCCTTAGAATTCTGGAATTTCCAATAAGCTGTGTAGGAGTTTACACTGACCACAAGGGCTGAATTCATTGATAAGCTTGAAAAACACAACAAAACCCCTCAGCACAGCCATTATTGAACCATAGTAAAATTTCAATTTAAAATGTAGTTCTCAAGAGGGGAACTCTGGAAAAGTAATTTCAGGTGCCTTTTAGCAAATTTCTAACAATCAAAATTAAGAACATCTGGATTTTTATGGCATCATAAATAAATGATCAGTTAAGATAAATTTTACTAGTACAGTAAGGAATCTTGCTGTTTAGAGTAAGCTCAACTTTCAAAATGTATTTGCTCCGTTCTGATTTAAGAGCTTTGCTACTTCAAAAAATAAATAAATAAAAATGAAAACAAGGGCCTTTTCCTTCTAAAATAAATTACTTATTGATCCATAACCAATTACACTTTTACTCTGAGAAAAGGTTCTACAATGATCACTCTCAAATCACAAGGGGCTGTGTTATTGAATTACTCAAACCACTGTTGTTTATTTTATGGTCAAAGAGTTTTAGACTGCAAGAATAGGTATTTCTTTCCAATTCTGGTCAAATGTGGTCTTAGGGTCCTGTCATAAGTAAAGAATTGACTTTCTCGGCGTCCATTCTAGCGTAATACCCTCCATATCTCCTTTACGAGCCATGGATTTCTGATAGCTGCACTGTGAAGGCCTTCTTCTTTCTGAATCTCCGATCTTGGTCTTGCCTGGTCGTTCTCTTTGGATTCAGTGCATGTCTCTACACACCCTTTCTCTTGGACTTGATATCTTCAAAATCTCCCTTGCTCGTAAACCGTGTCCTCCTGGGCTTCTCAAATACTGTTTATTGTCAGCCCTACCCACTCCTTATCAACTAATGGGACTCAGTCTGAGTTCAAATCTGGTCAAATTAAATTTTCTTTCTCCCATTGCCTAGAAGAGGTGATTAGACATTACAGACTCAACAAGTCTTTGATGTGGAGATAAGTCATTTCTTTCCATGTTGTTGTTGTTGTTGTCGTTGTTGAGACAAAGTTTCGCTCTTGTTGCCCAGGCTGGAGTGCAATGATGCAATCTCAGTTCACTGCAACCTTTGCCTCCTGGGTTCAAGCTATTCTCCTGCCTCAGCCTCCCAAATATCTAGGATTACAGGTGCCCACCACCACGCCCAGCTAATTTTTGTATATGCGGTAGAGACGGGTTTTCACTACGTTGACCAGGCTGGTCTTGAACTTCTGACCTCAGGTGATCCAACTGCTTCTGCCTCCCAAAGTACTGGGATTACAGGCATGAGCCACCGTGCCCGGCCTTTTTCCATGTTTTAAGCATATAATAAAAATTAACACAAGGCCAGTGGTTTTCTTTTTACTACCTAAGTTTACCTCCAGCACTTTCCCAAAATGTTGGGTGCATGGAATAATAAAAGAAAGAGGAATTAGAAATTAAAAGAAAAAATGAAAACCAGACAGGAAGCCAAGAAGAAAGGAAGGAAGGAAAGAAGAAAGAAAGAAAGGGAGGGAAGAAAGGAACAAAGAAAGTGCAAAGCAACACAAGATAATGCCTGGGGGTGATAGAAGCAGAACTGTTCTTAATATTTAGATTTGAGAATATTGAAAGGCTGTTTTATCAAATTATTTAGGTATCTTTGAGTCCATTTTGGTTTGCCCAATAAATTGTTCTACTTCTTTCATTATTGAAATTTAAAAGGAAAAATAAGATTTATAAATTCTAGATTATTGCTTATGATTTAGGTTTGTGAATATAACTGACTTAAAAATTAACCTAATTGGTGCTATGCTATCAATGATACATTTTTATCTGTAAAAGTTAGACTTATTCATTATCCATTAAACTTCAAGGAAAATTTGTGTAAGCTTTCAAAGTCAGTGAAGTATACTATGTACTGATCAGATTTAATATTTTCATCCTTATTTGATAGAGTAAGCCAATAAATTAGAAAGTTGATTGCATTAAGAGATGCTCCATCATTGCTGAAATATATACTGCTATTTAAATTAGATAATTTAAAAAATCTGATTGGCATATAATTTTAATGAAGATTTGAATATTTGACATGGTTTGTCATCCAATTTTTCAGAATAAAAATGTTGGATTTTTAAAAATTTTGATTAACTGTACTCTTAAAAACATAACAACTTGGAATAAAATGGTTTTTGAGTCAGGTGGCCCAGTTTTGATAGATGGATTTTTTTGTCATATTAATATTGATGCTACCACTGTTAACCTCAAAGTCATATAATATTACTATTGAAATTGTTAAGGTTTTATGAAGGGGTGAGGAGAAGGTAAGACATGAAGTGAAGAGCAATTAATTAGTATAGTACCTAGAATATGAGTGCTCAATAAATATTTTCTGAAAGAATTTAATAGATTTAATAAATTATACATTGAAAATACTGTGGCTTAGGATGAGTGTAGATCTTCAATTATTTAACAGTCAAGTAAAGTGACAGACATTTTAATTTCTATATAACTCTGAGAAAGTCCTCCAGGTTCCTGATTACAATACAGAAAAGTATAGAACTTGATATAAGCAGCCATATTATTGAGAAGCTTCAAATCTTAAAGGTAGTTTTCAGAAATCTTCAACTAAGAATTGGTTATGGTGATTGGTGGTTTAAAGAAAGTCTATGGTGAAATTTTAGTTGGATGAATGTTTATTTTTTGTTAATAATTGCCTTATTTATTGTAATTCACTTTTATCATGAATTATTCTCTAGTTATTTTATATCTGTCCATTATTTACAAATAGAAATAAACTTTCTGATGGCAGAGAACATGATTTATAATAATGGTGATGATTAATAAGAAAAATAGCCGGGCTCAGTGGCTCACGCCTGTAATCCTAGCACTTTGGGAGGCCAAGGCTGGCAGATCACAAGGTCAAGAGATGGAGACTATGCTAGCCAACAAGGTGAAACCCCATCTCTACTAAAAATACAAAAATTAGCTGGGTGTGGTGACACATGCCTGTAGTCCCAGCTACTTGGGAGTCTGGGGCAGGAGAATCGTTTGAACCCAGAAGGTGGAGGTTGCAGTGAGCCGAGATCGTGCCACTGTACTCCAGCCTGGCAACAGAGTGACACTCCGTCTCAAAAAAAAAAAAAAAAAAGAAAAGAAAAGAAAGAAAAATAATACAGTAATGTGACTTTTCATCATTTACTTCAGTACATCCTAGAAGCCTCTCCAGAAATATTTATTTAGCACCTAATATGACCCAGGCCTATGTTAGGCTCTGTGGATACAAAAATAAATGAGCTGGTTGTTTAGTAACCACCTCAATAAATATTTGTTGGATGAATGAATGAACAAGCTAGCTGAGATCCAGTTAACTTATATGATTTATAGCAAACATTTTGTCCCCAAATGACTGGTATTTCTTGGTATTTTTCTGTCTTGATATTTCTTCATCTCTCTTCCTTACAGTTTTAACTTTCTTACTTGTATAGTATTTGTGTGGACAGTTAACAAATAATAGATTTTTAAGATAAAGAATATAAAGAAATAACTTGCAAACTGTGAAGTGTTACACAAGACATGTTTAAGTTACGATGTGTTGAGGATTATTTAACTGATAATGACTTAAATAATTTCTTAGAAGCAATAAGAAAAATTTAGCTCAAGTTTTTATATTATATAAGATATATCTAGAAATTTTACCAATGTTGTCACTTCTAGAGAAAAGCGCTCATATAGCAGTTTAGTGATGTCATTTGGAAATTACTTAATGCCTCTCTGACAGAAGAAAGTCACTATAAATCTGGATGCATTCACTACCACAAATATTAACATGTGCATTGGTTCTGACCAGAGGAAATGTCACTGAGGGTGGAGGAGGGGATGAGTGAAGAGTGTGTTTTGAAATCCTTTCATCTTGGGAGCATAAAAGAGCATTGCAAATTTGATGAGTGAATTGTTGCACATTTTTGCCTTAAGTGTTGCTTCTTTGTACTTTGCTGGGCCGGAAGCCTTATTTTGAAACCAAGCTCTTAATTGATTTTGATTTAGAAATATGCCTTTTGATCATTGGTTTTAGTGTAGACTAGAAACAGTGTATTTATAGTAAATATTACATGTCCCAAAATAACACCAATATTGGTGACGTGTCAAGTCTTTCTCATCTTTCTCTGCTTCTCTCCATTATACATTATTTATCTTGCTGGTCTATTAAGATTTGATTCAGAAATACCTTTTTAAAGTCAGTAATTATACATAGATGCACACCTATATCAACAAGATAAACCCAGTTATTTCCCCTCAGGGTTTTCCTTGAATAGAAATTATGTTCCATTTGAAATACTCTTTCTAATCAACAGATGCACTGATTTTATAGAGGTTTAACTTTGCCATATAGTATTCAGATTCAGTCCTGTAAATCATATGTTGTATATATATTGCTTGGTTTTGCTTTCCTAGTTCTTTTACATTCATTTATTTATTTTTTCTATTGCCGTATCACGAGGTAGCTTTCCTAATTCTTATATGAATTAGAGAACATGTGGCCTATTTTACTACAATTTCAAAAGATGGGTTAAATAATGCCTTTTCACCATGTATTGTAAAATTACTGTCCAAACTTCTGAGGTGTAAAAGTCATTTTTGGGGAAAATGTGAGAAATGATGGTCACATTTCTATTGGCTTAAGTGCTAAATAGTTTATTATGTGGGAGGTAGGAGAGGTAAATGAATCAATACAGATTCCTACCTTCATCCTTTTCCCTTGGAAGTTAATTCAATTTCTCAACTTCTAAATTACTGGTCATCATCTTTAGTGTGTCATTTAATCTCTATGTTTTTGGTTTCTAGAATTCTAGAGTTATTTCCTCATCTGAAATTCTATTGCTGTGAAATTTAAGAAATGAGAACAAAACAGCTATTTCTAGCTTCTTCTCGGTTCACATACTTACCACTTAGAGGCTTGTACTGCTGCCTCACTTTCTCAGCTATCCTTCTGTCTCCATTCTGAGTACTTTTCTATCCATTTTATATACTTATGGCAGGTTAATTTGCTAATCTGGTTCTTTGATCATATTATTCCTTTGTTAAAACACATTGATGCCGCTGCAATTATATATGGGTAAAGGCAAATTCTGTACCTAAAATTTAATGTCTTCAGCATTTTGATCTCTTTCCCTTTTCGTGTCCATTTTTCCCATTTTTCTACTTATCTTTCAACTCCAGTGAAACATATTAACTTTTTTTAAAAAATGAGCTTCTTGTCATCTCTCTATTTCTAATTCCTGTTCAAAAGATTTCTTCCCATTCTCTCTCACTATATAGATTTGACTCAGTCATTGAACAGTTTTTTCAAATAGTGAGTGTTTTCAGGGTTGGTCCTGGATCTTTTCACCTCCTAAGCTAGCAGAAAGAAGTTAGGTCTCCGGAATCTCTTTGGAAGAGTTGCAGAAACAATTCCTAGGACATTACCTAGCTGGAGAAAATCATGTCCATTGATTCTGCTCCATCCTGTGATCACTACTCCTTTTGACCCACTGCTTTGTGGTGGGCCCCAAGCTATTTTATAGAATGGCTTCAAATCTATTCTTAAGTTAGCCAGTGATGAGTGGCTTTAGGAAACCCTGTTTCTTATGCCAAGCTGTCAAAACAAGGAACTTCTTGTTGAATTCTTTCTGACTACTGACTATACCACAATTTCTTCTATAGCTACTAACTATTTTTCAAAAGCGTACCTTTAAGAAACATTTTAGGCAAAATAAACACATTATTTTTGATCACCTATAATGCAATTTATAATGTGTGTGATTAGTTCCTGTGTAACCAATTTTTCCATAATTTAGAAGCTTAAAAGAGCAAACATTTATAATCTTACACTGACTTAGGAATCCAGGAGCATCTTAGTTATTCTGGAATTTTTAGAAGAAGTAATGGTTAAGAACTCCTGTATTTAGAACATATCCAATATGTTTACCCTTATGATCCAGACAGAGTCTGTGTGTCTCGGGAAGAAATGATGAGCAATAATTTAAACTATATGCAAGCACGTTATTAAGGAGGCTTTGCAGAACTCTAAACACAATATAGATTGATGGAAGAAAAAAAGAAACAAAGACATTGCTTGAGGGTTAAGAACCAGTTTGGGGAATACATACTGAATATGGGTCATTTGCACAATGATCAGGAAAATTACTTTTATTACACACACACACACAAAAAAAAATGCGCTGAAAGCCATAAGCAAAATGCATGGCAGTAGCGGTTACAAAATAGAAACAGCATTGTAAATATGTCAGCCAAAGACCAGAAAACAAGATGATGATGGTGATTCTACAGCATTAGAATCCTATTAATGCTGATGCTGGCCCACTCTAGACATGGGCAAGTTTATTTAAACAATGGAAGGAAATAATCTAGGTGCATAGATAGGGGGTACTCAAGTTAATAGTAGACATAAATAATCCAAATTATAAATTAGAATCGGAGGACTAGACATAATTTTTATGGGGTCTGAGAAAATTCTTCTGATGAAAACAATTTGTGATGTCTCTAGGAGTTACTTTAGGAGATGGTGTGCTAGACCAGAACTAGGGATTCTTATATCGACAACACAGAGGAGGCCTCTCTCCTCCTCAAAACAAACTGGAAAACTGTCTAACCTTTTTGCCAACAGAGCACAGCCCTGAATGGGGGACGCTCAACTGCCCTGGAAGATCACACTGCAACTAGGCTTCTAAGTAAATGCTTTAATGGTGGGCTCTTCCTGGAATTTTAGCCCTTAAATCCTTCCTGCCCAATAAAGAATGGAAATTCGTGATTGACAGACAAAAAAGTTTGGTGAAAGATCAAATTTAATTGATTAGTAAGGCTTTTGGCCTATGAAAAAGGGTATCTTCATATACTTAAAATTTTACTCTGAATTTTAGCTATCAAATAAGTGCCGGCTGCTCACTCCCAAAGACACATCTCCATCCCAGACTTCTGTCACTACCATACTAATATTTCCAACTGCTTACTCAGCATCTCTACCTGGGTGTCTCACAGGCGACTGAAACTTACCACATTAACAACTGAACTCATCATCTCCCAATCACCCACTCATCTACACGATCACAGGCTACATCTTTGACATCTTTTACTCCGTGCTTGCCTTTACAATCTAATCAGTTTGTCACCGAATTGCTACCATGTCTCTCAACCTATACCATCCAAGAGAAATATATGAGCCATGTTTGTAAGTTTTAATTTTCTACTACTCATATAAAAGGAAAAAAAGATGGAATTAGTTTTACTAAATACAATTAACTTTGAGAATATATTTTAACTCAATATGCCCAGAATATTATCATTTTAATATATAAATGATATAAATTATTAATGTTTTCTATTATCTTTTCATAATAAGCTTTTCAAATCCAATGTGTGTTTTACACTTAACATTTAGCAAACCCTGTTTCTTATGCCAAGCTGTCAAAACAAGGAACTTCTTGTACACTTAACAACACCTCTCATTTCAGAATCTAAATTTTCCATCAGAAGCATTTTATATTTTGTTATATCTACAGTTGTAAAAGTAGATTCACATACTCAAGTTATTCTAAACATACTTAAAAGTTTGAGTATCTTTTAAACTTACAACAAACTTAATTAAAATTAAATACATTTTAAAATTCAGCTCCTTGGTCACATTAGCCATATCTCAAATGCTCAACATATGGCTACTGGCTTGCCTACTGAACAGCAATTTTTAGAAGGTATCTGCTTGCTTTTTATTCCACTATTATTGCCTTAGTTTAATGACCTCTTCTTGAACTGTTGCAATAGCCTTCTAACTAATCTCTCTGCCTCCAGCATCTTCCCTTTCTAATCCATCCTCTGCACTGCTACCAGAATGATTGTTATAAAATAAAATTGTGGTGTTTCAACCTCTGGCTTCAAATGTTCAGTTACAGTGGGTCTCAACCTCTTTTAGTTCAAGACATACCTGGCTGATAATGTTCACCCACTTTCAGCAGTAATTTTGCTCACTTATGAGCTGCTCATCAGTGGAAAAAAAGCACAAATCCTGGTACTCTATCAGTCCTTTCACCCATTTTCTCCCACTGCTCTGCAAGGGTGTGTTTCCACCTCTCACCTGGTAGCAAGGCTGGTCAGAGATGGGCATGGGCTCCCTGTTCAGTTGTCAATTTGAAGCCCCCTCATAGTATTCTTTAAGTATTTTTCCCAATGTGTATTTAATAGCATATGAAGAGAAACTAATTTTTATTTATTAAAATTATAGACACGGACACTTAGTAATTTACTTCTCCAGGACAAAGCAAAGTCAAACGTCTGGAAAAAATTGGCAAAATAACAACAACAAACTTCCTTTTTTTTTTTTTTCCCGTCTTTGTGTACTCTTGCATTTTTTGTTGGCAATTTTATGAAGCAGACAAAATTTGGAATTAGGTTAAAGTATTTAAACTCTGATGGCAAATCTTCATCCATACTGAACAGCATGATGCCGAGCAGCAAGTGTCATGAAAGCAGGGAATTTTATCTATTTCGTGCACTTTAGTATTCCTAGAGCCCAGCATGAGCCTAGAATTTAGCAAGTGAGCAATCAGTATTTGTTGAAATAATCTTTGCATTCTGGAAGTTCTACCAACTTAAACTATGTGTGTTCTGAAAATGTTCAATGGCAATAGGTCGGTGCTGCTCAGGTTAAAGGCAATATCAGAAGCCAGTTTATATTAAATGTGTTTTGGGGGGGTTAGAGATACAAATCTGAGCTAACTATCAGCATGTTTCCAGTTTATGTGTTACCTATTTATAGATTGGTATCTTGAAGCAAGATTCTAGTTCTGATAGAGAACCAGTGGTCTACTGCAAATACTTCAAAGGCCAACTTCCTTAGCTGGACCTCTGATGTATGCACAATCTAGACTTATTTTCCAGCCTCATCTTCAGCTACTCCACATTCTACCTCACACACATTCACTCTTTAATACATGTTCTTAACAAAATTTTCTCCCCCTCCTCCTTGTGCTTCTCCTCTCCTCCTTCTTCTTCTTTCTCTTCTACCTCCTTTTCTTCTAAGTGCTAAGCACTTTCCAAAGCACTAGAAATACAGTCAGATGTGGCATGGCTTCTGACCTCAAGTACCTTATAATTTACTACATAATCATTATTCTACTGGCACATTAGCCACAGAAAATAGGCTGATATTTCAAATCCTCACACTGTAAAAGCACACTTAAAAGTTTTTAAACTATGAAGCAGTCTACAAGTGTGGCTTTTATAAAAGCAATCAACAGTCTCATAACTGTTCTAAGTTTACATATGTAAGTCCATCTAATATGCATTAAAACTTCAAAAGGAAAAAATATATACTCAGGTAGTTAATGAAGAAATGAAAGTCACACAACTAGTGAGCTGCAAAACCAGTGTTGAACTCAGTCAGTCTGACTCCTAAATCCATGTGCTTAACCACTGTGCCTTCTGTGATGCAGGTGAGAGTTCAGGAGACAATCCCTCATCAGGCTGAACGAGATAACTCTGCCTTTTGGTCTGTGTAATGAAGTTTTATGAAGTCAAACAACCCTACCCTTTAGTATACCACATATCACATAAATTATGGAGCATTTCAGATATCTGCTACATAAAGCATTTTCTCTAGTTAAATAAATACATAGGAAGTTATCTGACTGGCCAGTTACCCCAAAGATTTTGTGGTTAGCTAGCTAGCATTTGCAACTAGTTTGATTTGTAAGTTTGGGGCATAAATAATTTTAAAGACCGAGAAACACAGTTTAAAAAAATGTACCAATAATGAGAGTCAGCAAAAAGAGACCTCCAGAGTGCCGCTGTTCATATCTGTTCCTTTCTTTAAAGTACTCCTACTTCCTCTTATTCCTACCTGTCCTTCTCTTTTTCCTAGTCTGGTGCTTTTTTATTCATCTTTGAGGCCTGGATTATATATTTTATGTATTTGTGAAACCTTCCTTTGTCCCCTAGGGCAAGACTAATTATGCCCTTCTTGGTACAATCATAATACTTTGTTCTTAATCCTATTGTGTTACTTACTGTAGTTATAACTATGTCTTTATATGTCCTTGTAGCCCATTAAATTGTAAACTCTTCAGGGTCACTGACAATGTATAATACTATGTATCTTTACATGTCCGTATTTTCATACTCTAGCATGGTGCTTAGTAGATGCATAGTAATGGTTTACAGAGGAAGCAATGCATACCTGAGTGAATGGAGAAATAAGTGAACTCTTGCTGCTTTACTTTTGACTGTGGCCTCTCTTGCCCTCCTGCTGGTAGTTTTCCATTGTCATGCAGGCGCTCACTCCAGAAGTGCTCTCCTTGGAGCATAGTATGAGGTACAGTACCAAAGGATAATCGTGAAAGCACGTGATGTTCTCCTGGGACTTCCCATTTACAACCTCCTGAGGCAAACAAAAGTCAGAGGCCTGAGGACTGAGGCCTGTCATGAAATGGATTCATTTTTCCTGTGTTATTTTCTTATGAAAGGAAGACTTTTCTTTTGTTAATGGCTAGCTCCACCTTCAGATTCAAATACTACACACAGGTGATCATTTCTCTGAGTCTAGGTATGCTTCTTGTCTGTTCTCTGTATCATTTTTATTTCTAATATCTACACAAAAACTTATGTGATATATTTCCCTGCATCCTGACTTGATGAGAAGAGAAGAATCCACTAGGAGAATGAAAACAAACAAAAAACTGTCCTGTAGTAATCCTCCCTAATTGATTAGGAATGTAGAGATGATCAATCTCCACTACCCTGGCAATTTAACCATTCTCTCTCTCTCTCTCTCTCTCTCTCTCTCTCTCTCTCTCTTTCTCCCTCTCTCTCTCTCTTTAATCTTCTGCTGTGCCAACCTCTAACACTTGGCTTAGCTGAGGGAGGTAAAATTGGTTCTCCATTTGTTGAGTTGTAAAAATTATTTTAATTAATATATATTAAATGTTTGGAAGTACTATCAGTGAATCATCTGAAGTAGGGTTAAATTCCCCCTCTGAAATCATGCTTACCCTATTATTTGGCTTAGTCAGAAGAACGGTAACTAAACAATACTCTTTAGAGTGTACTGATTGCTTACTGTGGAACACACACTGATCTAAACATTTTGCATAAAATTAGATTTTATTAAATATTCACAATAATTCATTGAGGTATGAATTTTATCTCAGTTTTACCAATGAGCAGACTGCATTATAAATAAATTGACCAAAATCATACAGATAGTAAATAACTGCCTGTCTTTGAACCAGTTGTATATGACTTCAAAGCTTCATTTTTCTTTGTACAAAGGAAAATTTCAGGCTGGCCCAGCTTATTTTGCAAATGATTATAAAATCCCAACTACTGATGTGAAACCAGTGAGTCTTTGTAGTGTATTATTTTATGATATTCCTTAAACATGGAATTCCAGAGATTCTGTGACCCTCAAGGTGAATGCACTAAATAACAACAAAGTGTGATGACATAGCACATAGTATTTTCTATTATAAGTCTCTTAATGGGTACAATTATAGGTATCTTTGCTGCTTTGTGAGTTGTGCCTAAATGTAGAACTAAACTAATACTGCTAGGAGGGTATTGGCCTTATGTGTGATGAATATGAAAGTAACCCACATTGCTCTGGAAACTCTGGTTGGAGCCATGACTTTCAGCCTTCACCACATTCTAAAGGTAATGCATAAAGCCTCAATGTCTTGACCTACTTCTTTCCCCCCGCACCCCAAACTAAAGGCAGGGGGAGTCTCTGTGTACTTAAGCATGTAAATGAGGTCAGAGAAAGGGAATTTGTCTATTGCTTGTAGCTCTTGCTGATTGGACATTTTCCCGACAGAGGTGTTCAAAGGAAAAGTATGTCATCTGTTCATTACTGTTAATTAGGAATAAAATCAGGCTTTGGGGGCTCCAAATCCCATAGAGCATCAGCAGAGAAATAGAGTTGAAATTTTAGCCCTATTACGCAGAGTAAGGTTAGACAGCTACTCGTCTAGGCTCCAGAACTGTGTTCATTTGATCTTTAAAAAACAGGTATTGCAAAGATATTTCATAAGGTGGGAAGAAAAAGTTGTAAATTCTAGCTCCGCCTCCAAATACCTAAATCAAGACCGATGGTTATTTGATTATTTGTAACTGGTTATTGAGAAGGGTGTTGGATAAATGCAGTGGCTGGGGATGTTTCTGGAATTTGAGAGTGCTATGTAGATATTGTTAATTGTTATGTGAGGAACATGCTATAACCATCAACTCCATATTTAACTAGTTTTTCCTTAACTTTGTCCTTCTCAGTAGACTGTATTTATATTATTTAACTTTTTTTTTAACTTACTAATTTTTTGGTATTCTTCTAAGCATCCAGACATAAACTAGATTCAATAGACTAGTGAGGCATACTGTAGGGTCTTGAAGGCCAATAATATTTTATGACAGGCTGTTCAGAAGGAATTGAATTTTATTTGTTGCCTACGGATGAAAGTATTTACTTTTCAGGAAAGCCCATATTTTAAATCAATTTAATTTTTAAATCATAAAAATTTGTATTGAAAAATTTAAATAATACAACAATGATGGGAGTAAAAAGTAAAAACAGCATATAATATACCCACTTTTTTACTGTGGTGTCTAAAACTCTAATCTTTAATCTTATGCATATACATTCAATTTCTTTTTTGTGTATAGTATAGGTACAAGGATTTGTATATATGCTAACATACCTGAACATTCTTTAAAAAGATGAAATATTATCATGTGCATACTATTCTGCAACTTGAGTATTTTTATTTAATATATTTTGTACATCTTTTCATTTTAGAGCATATGATCTCATATTTACCTCATAACATGCATCTGCTACATGTTATGAGGGTAGCAGACCCTAATGATGGGTATTTTAATTTTTTCAGCATTTTAAGTATTACAAATGGATAACATTTTAAAATCTTGTAAAAATATCGTTTCACATGTGTAAAAGCATATTTTTATGTACAAATTCATACAAGCCGAACCAATGTATATATTGCTGAGTTGTCCTCTAAGAACATTGTACTGTTGAACACTCCCACCAGCAGTGTATGAAGATATCACAAACTGGAGTGTTTTCATATAAAAGCAAATTGGTCTCATTATTTCTTAGGAAACTGAGCTCCATAGAATGATTTTCTTTCTGGTGTATTTAATTTGAGTGTGTTCGCATTTTAATAATTACACTAGTATAGCGGTGAAACCAACCCCCCTTTAACTTCAGTCACAAACTTTCCCCTATTCTGGCAGCATTCATGAAGCAGCAGTAGGCCAAGGAGGTTGGATAACTATTTCATGAAGCATGCGGCTCTTTTCAGTAAAATGTGGCTTCACAATATTATGGGAAAAGCCAGGCAGGCAAGAGGTTAATATCCTCCTGGGTAGCAGTACTCATTTCAGAGTCTACCTCTGTGTTCTTCACCTTCTACACATTCCATAATTCTTAATTTTGCCTCTAGTCACTTTTTATTTCAATCCTGCAGTCCCCAGGACTCGTGAACACCATGGAACGTGACAGGCTTTTAAATGTATTAATACTGTCAACATCATTGTGCTTAATCTTAATATAACAAACAGAGTAGCAACAGATGTATTCTGCTATAAAGTGTTTAGTAAAACATACATGTCCTAGCTGTTGATAGCCAATTTAAATGACGAAGTTCCTGAGCCTGAGCTCAGAGGGTGGATTATATCAAGGGAGTAACTCATATGTTCTGTGGCATTTGCTAATAGCCAATATTAAATCGAAAGGAAGTAAGATGTTCAGTAGTGGAAAAAAGATGTACCTAGTTGAGTTTTTCAAATTCTACATGTGATTAATTACTTCAGTCCTATTGCATCTATAGTGAGCTAAATTACAGTTAGCAGTGAGAACCACATTTAAAAATTAAAGAACTTTTTTTTAAATGGCCAATTCTTAAAATGATGGCTAAATATAATTTAAGCATGTGAGATATAACCAAAATTATAGTTTTTTCATTGCACTTTTAAATTGTCCTAAAGGTGCTATAGTCTTGAATTTTACTAATACAATGTAAAAATTAAAATGTGTAGCTGTAGAGTTTAATAGGCATTAAGAATATTTGTTAATGCCGTGGCTGTCTATATTATATTCACTAACAGGTTTAATAGCTGAACAGATGCAACTTGCTGTGGTAACACATGGTACTGAGCAGCAGGCAGCCCCATTTGACAAGCTGGTTTTTATTTTATTTCTATATCCCCAAAACTTCTCTAATAATCCCAGATTTCAGTGTGTTTTGATTTGTTAGGCAGCGAACAGATAAGAGGGATTCAGTTCTTTGTTGTTTATTTCCAACAGGTTGTTTGTCTTCACGATACACAGCCCATGAGATTCTAAAGTAAAATAACTGGGTGAGACTGGGTAAGACACACAGCACAGATAACTATACAACAATACAAATAGGTGTATCCAATACAAAACAAACAGAGGAGCACCTTCAAGGATGCTCTGCAATATGGACATTGATAACACGAGATTAGCAAGAAAATTCTGCCAACCATCTGCTCGGCAAGTATCAGTTATATGGTGGGCAGGATATTTAATTGCAATGATTTGTGTGCATATCTTCTAGTTACCTTGCATAACTAGCAATAACTTTTGTCAGCAGAGTGGCTTAGGGGAATTGTGGTTGTTTGGTGTTACAAGATTTGCTCTCTGAGGATCAATTCTTTGGAGCTTTCCATGAGCTATTTTCCAATCCTTTAATTGCTTGTGTCTGGAAAAAAAATCTGATATACATTCTAAAGCTAAAATAAGATGACGGTCTAGCTAATATATTTTGGTATTCACAAAAAGACGTGGAACTGATAATGGGATATTTGAAATGGGTTTTTGCAAAAATCCTGTACAGATATTGAAAATTGTAAAGTTGTTGAAATTGGATACGTCCTGTTGAACTTCAGGGATTTCGGTTCTGCCTTGTGTGGTGAGGGAATTATACTAGCCTGAAATCTAAAGTGTGAAAGAGGCTGGTTCAAATCCCATGGAATGTTCTAATGCAATATCAATTATCTGGGCCAGAAAAAGCATTTGTATTTCAAGGCATTCTGCATCTTTTCAGAATTTCTTCAGCAGGGTTGGCATAATCATCAACTAGGATCTGTTTTAAGACTCACGGCATAGTCTTTTCCCAACATCAAGGTTATTATGCACACTCTGTCTTGGTCTTAACAATCCACCCTAGTTCAGAGAATTCAGAGAAATGCTCTAGGTTTGCACAACCAGAATTAATTTCCTTCCATCACAGTATAGTGAAAATAATATGTTTCCCTCATGTTCAAACCTCTCTCTTTGGTAATGTGAACCTCAGGGTGTTTGACTGAGGAGTTAGGCTGATTATGCTTTGTGTTAGTGTGACTCATATTTCTCTCTAAGTCTGCCTTTAAGAAAATATTCCTTAAATTGTGGCTCATATGAGAGCCACTTATTTAGGAATATTTTCTTTATATATATATATAATATATTATATAATATATATTATATATAATATATATATTATATATATATAATATATATATTATATATATAATATATAATATATATAATATAGAGAGAGATTTTATATATATATGTGTGTGTATATATATGTATATATAGTCACAAGGTCTCATTAGAGTACAGTAGTGTGGTTATAGCTCACTGAAGCCTCGACACTCCCGAGGCTCAAGCAATCTTCTCGCCTTAGCCTCTCAAGTATCTGGGACTGCAGGCATGTGCCACCATGCCCAACTAATTTTTTGAATTTTTTGTAGAGATGGGGTCTCACCATGTTGCCCAGGTTGGTCTCTAACTCCTGGGCTCAAGCGATCCTCCTGCCTTGGCCTCCCAAAATGTTGCAGCTACAGGAGTGAGCCACTGTATTTGACCTAAGAATATCTTTAAAGTGAGACACTAGTATGAGAGGTTTGTAAAGTTGATGTGTTTGTTATTCCAGTTTATACTAAAAATGTAAGTACCTCAATAATTATATATTTTATTCTAGATTTTGTCATTGCCAATAAAATTGTATAAATCTAACCTCATAGGGCCTTTTTATCAACTAGACTTGAGGACAAATTATTTTTGGTAAACTTCTCATGTTCTGACTGTCTAAGAGCTCTTTTTTTTTTTTTCCCCAAAACAGAACACAGTTTTGTATTGGAATATTAGTCTCCCCACAAAAGAGATACATAAAAAGACAATACTTGAAATAATGAAATTTGTGTGGATAACACATAGAAGTAGTGTACTCACAGAACAAATTATCATCTTCATAGAATTCTAGGGTAATTTAGATGGCAGGAAAGCTAGACGTACCTGTTTGTCATCTGCAATACCTAATTGAGAAATGGATCAAAGCCTGTTTGAATATAATGAAAACAGGTCACCCTAACTTAAAATCCAAAGCAGTCTTTGAAGTACGATAACTATTCACTCAAAGGAATAAAACCCATAGCCACTGGAGTTTTGTGTGTTTGGAATGCCACAATGAAGCAAACATTTAAATCCATTGGCAATAGAGAAGAAAAAAAAATAAAGGCTATTGGAATATCTCTCTTGAAAACTATTTAAACAATATGGAATAAAAGTGAATATTTTTGGAAAGGACACCTTTACTTTGTTTTGCATATGTATAACAGGAATCCATAGAATCTTAAATTATATTTAACTAAAATGTCACTGGGTACAAAGTTGAAGTTTTTCTATCTCAGATAAGTTTCAGGACCTGGAAAGGCAGTTATTTCCCTTAGAGGCTCACTTGTATTCCAACCCCTAATCAAAGACTAAAGATACTCTAATTTAAAAAAGTAAATGAGTAATGCTGTTATATAAGCTATGGCCTTGCTGAAAGTTTAGATTCTGTCTTAGACTCCAAGATAAACAAACTTATTTTTCTCCAAAACCGTGGGTATGTGGTGGGGAGGGGGCTATAATCACTGTGGCTAAATATGAAGTTTACCAAAGACGTTTAGATTCTGAGAAAGAAAAAAAAAAAAAAAAAGAAGGTGCTAACTTTAAGGAGAACACATTCAAATCTCCAGTAGAATGTGAGAGATATTCTTCCATTTTGAGAGAATCATCACCATTTGTCAGAAAGGATGGTATTCATACTAAGAGCTGGTAGATCTCTTCAAAAACGTGTCTGGGAGCTAACTGTCACCCAATTCCCACTGAAGGTGGAAAGTTTTTCGTTCATTCATGAATCACTTCTTGAGGGCTTTAAAGTGAACAGAACCTTGTTAGCTTCTTGGGATAGAAATGTGGATGAGATATTGCATATGCTTCAATAAACTTGAATAGTGAAAACTCTCCATTAAGACTTTTGAAGAAATAATTTTAATAAAATGATGTAAAGACAATAATGGAAGCACTGAAATTTATAATAGTAGCATATAAGAAAGAAGAGTGAATTTTGCCTTGATGCCTCAGGAGCACCTTTGCAGAGGAGGTAGTTCAGGTATGTATGGGAGAGGAGTGTGCCAAACAGAAGAAAACAAAGGAGGCCATCAGAAATAATGAGCTAAATTGAGATACAACATGGTGTGTCTGGCTAATTATGTGCCTTTTAACATAGCCATTACTAGGCATCAGTAAATGTTTTCTGGATGAATGGCTAAATGGGAAATATCTTATCTAGTTTTTCAATAACAATAAGTTAGATGAAAAGAGAAGTGGCAAAAATATTTTAATAAGTATGCAAGTGATGTCATACTGCAGAGAGACTTCAAGTAAGAGTCTAAAGCTTTGCTGTTAAGTTTCTTTCTGCATAGGACTCTGGGTTGGAAAGATGACCTTCAACCAGGCGTTCTGTTGACAGACTTGCTCCACAGACCCACAGAATGCACGCTTTCCTAGGACTGTTTCTTTAGGTCCCCTGTTATAATTCGGTCTGTCCATCTCTTTAGGCATTTCTGAAACATGATCTAAATTGAAAGTTGAACCCCTACTTATAGGGTTTAAAAAAAACTACATACCTAGAGAGTTTTAAAGCATGTAATTATAGATCCAGCCAGATAAAAGAAGGTCCAATAAGTTTACGTTTTTTTAAGCTTTGTCTTTTCTAATCACTTAGTTTCTCAACTGTCAATGGGCACAGATACAGCAATAACAATGGTATATGGGGTCATGCTTTATATTCTCCCACAGCTCTGATATGCATGTTGAACATCCTGTTCAAAGGTGATTTTTAAAGATGTGATTGAGAATAAGTCTACTGCTTTTTAAATAGTCTTTGTTATTCTTAATAATAGCAAATTTTATTATGTAAAACATATTTATTTTGGTCCTCATAATCAAGGATTGGGAAAAAAGTTGAGGACAATACCAATAGTATTAGGAGGTGCTGTTTTTGCTACATCTGCTTTGCTACAATAACATTTCTGATTCCTTTATAATTACCTTATTAATCTTCACTAGTGTCTTGACCCAGGTGTTTTACCACGATCACAGAAACATGACAAGGTCATTGCTTTTGACCCTTGAAAGTATTACTGGGAAGCTGTTTTTAGCCACATCTGTGGAGGCTGACAAAACATTAAATAGGTTCTATCACAGATATTTTTTCACTTTCTAAAAATAATAATGATATTTCACAACACACTGTGTATAATTTAGAACTTGTGATTATTCTGGACCTGAATTCTCTGCTTTGAGGATGGCAGGTGCATGTTTGGAATCACACCCAAATCTGAAATCCACTTTTTGAAAGTGTGCTAACGTGGCATCATTGATCATTAAAACTTGTGTTGAACTTTCCACCCAACTAGCATATGCAGAAAATTAGTGTAGTCATTTTGTTCCCTAAGGCTGTGTCTTTCTAAGCTCAATAAAGCACTCTGATTTTTTTTTTAAATAATGGCTTGAAAACAGAAAAATAAGAAAGAAAAAACTCTATCTGTTGGCATGTCTCAGTCTCTGCTCACTTCCATTATTTGAAAAATGTAGATCTTGTAGAATCTCTTCATTTGGTGTAATGAAAATTAAAAGTGGTTCAAAGGAAGTAATAATTCTGTTTTCAAAATCCGATTGGTAAATACTTCAGAGGTATGGCTCAATGCCTTTAAATACAGTATCCTCATTCAACTTCAAAATCAAATATCTTAAATTGAACCCTTCTTCTCATACTGTGTTGCTCTTTCAAAGTAGAGCATTAAGTTTGAAAAAACAATAACAAGTATCTTAAAATTATAAACATTAAGATGTTTATAAACATTTGAGATAATTAACTCATTTGACACTGAAGTATTTAATTTAATTTAATTATTTATTTTTGAGATGGAGTTCTGCTCTGTCACCCAGGCTGGGGTGCCGTGGTGGGATCATAGCTCACTGCAGCCTCAAACTCCTGGCATCCAGCATTCTTCCTGCCTCAGCCTCCCTAAGTGTTAGGATTACAGACATGAGCCACTGTATCAGGCCCAAAGTATTTTAAAAATAACTTTTCTGACACCATCTTTTCTTTGCTTCACTCCCTCCATTCTTTATCTACTTATAAGCATATTTAGTTCCTTGAAATATTTAACCAATGTCACCAACTGAATATGAGGTTTAACCACATTCAGTTGTGAAATCAGCTGAAAAATGCCAATTATGTACTTGCTTAAATTTTCTTTGGAGAATTCACTTTGCATAAGGCTATATGGTTGGGCAAAGCATGAGATACATGTTGTTGAGCTGAAGAATGGATAAAAATAATTGCCTGCTCTGCAGAAGTTTGACTATTTAACAATAATTCCTTAATTTAGATTGTCCTGATTTTTTAATATTATTATTAATATCATGATGTCTTATTTTAAATATTGTTTTAAAGTTAATAGCATTATACACATAATCTTTTTAAAACAACTTCAAAAGGTACAGAAATTCTTTTTACTGTGCATATTTCATGAATAAGAAAATTAAGGCCTGTGGATAAATGGCATGACTAATAAAAGGATAAGCAATGATCAGAGTTTAGGTTTTCTGATTTCAATCTCATTACTTTTTTACTGTATTTTTATTTATAAATTAAATGTTTTCACCCAGTAATATTTGATTGAGACAATGTTAGACACAGGAAGCTGTAATATTTATACTTGGTAGCAGGTCATGTTAATATGAATTGGATTCATTTGTTGAGCTTTAAGAATCGCACTGACACATAACATATAGTATTTATTTATAATAGGCCTTTATTTTAAAATGTGCCCCAGGGGTGTAATAAGGATGTAACATTCTTTACCTTCAGAGCCTTATAATAACCTTTTTCTTTTAATGCAATACAAGAAAGACAGGAGCACATTAATCAGGAGAATGGGAGTAGGATTAGAATGGAGGTGGAATGTAAAGGGGCATTAATGCCATTATAAGAAAACGTAAAGGAAGTCTGTATCAGATAAAATAATTCAACTCTCAGAGGAATAGGAAGGTAATTAGATAAATAACATATTATCTAAAATGAATTTTGTGAGGGTTGCCGCCATCTGTCTCATTTCTGTGATATGTACAATTCAGGTAATAATGTGGCTGCAAATCAGGGACCTAGCTATATTAAAGTGAGCTGAGTCCTAGAGATGCTACATATTTTATTTTACCCTGCATCAGTTTATAAAGTCGAGATAATAATACTTTCCTATCCACCTTATAGAATTATTCTGAAGATCGAATGAAACAGGATGTGAATGTACTTTGAAACATTGAAGTCATCATGGTGCAATACAGAGCTATGTGGTTTCCAAAAATCATACAAGAAAGCAGTTTCATTATCTTATAGTCACTTAAAAAATAAAATGTAGGATATGTTATGACTTCTGCATGAAATCTAGAGAGAAATTATCAGTAAACTCCTTAGAAAAATCAGAAGTCAAGCTCTCTATTTAAGAGTTGAAAGTAGCTAGAATACAGACTATATTTGAATTATCTTAAAATTCTGTTTTATAACTAGGCAGTAGATTTTTTTCTGTGCCTGCTGGAATTAATATTGTTTCTGTTGCTTACATTAGTCATACTAATGTTGACATCAGTCTCTACCTGGACAAAAATGACCCAAATTATTTGGTAATTTACTCATTAAATGCTGAAAGTATGGAATATAGAGTTGCTGATTGGATTAGAAGGAACCGAAAATATTTAGCATTAGAGATTTGCTGATACATATTTTATGCAATCTACTTGAAAAAGAGAAAGACGTATGCTAAAGACTTTCCCATTTAGGGACAATTACTGGATATGTTCAGGAATTGTGATCACAGAGTGAGATTGCTAGTTCTTCCTACAGGGCTTTATCCTTGCCCTGGCCTGATGAAAATTATCCAATATCTTGAATTAAAATAAAAGAAGATATTGTTACTCAGTATGTAGATAAGCTGAAAATCAAAGTTATGACTAATATGAGTATCCCAAGCTAGAATGAAGTATCAAATCCAAGAACATAAGACTGACAACTCTAAAACTGAGGGACACATTTAAGTAAAGCACAAAATAAACAACAACTAAATAAACTGTTACAATTTAGTAATCAGCATAAACTTAATGTAAGTCAATAGTTTTACGAAGTTGCCAAGTAAAACTAATCAATTTTAGGATGCATTAATATTTAGAAAGATGGATGTGGTGAATTCCTCTTAGCTGCAGTGGTGACTCTGCTGGGGTTTGTGGAGTGCTCTGCTTGTCACACTTTTTAAATGGAATACCTTCAGAGTTGAACAAGAAGTTGATGAAAAAAGTTGAAACCAAGTTAAATTATAAAATCATCAAAGAAATTAAAAGTGATTAGAATTCTTGGTTAGGAGTCCAAACAAGATTCTTTGAACCACTAGCTAATGACTCGAGGAGGCATGATAATTAATTGACTAGAAATACCTAAAAATTTCGGTGGGTTAGAAATGGAATGGGCTACCTCAAGAGGTCATGAGTATTACAAGTTCCTTTGTGTAGAGTGTGGAAAGATTAAGCATCAGAGGGCTGCCTGGACTAACGAAACTTCCAGATCCATTATACAGTCTTATCATTCTATTATGTTGTATAGGAAAATCAATTATAGCAGAAATTCACAAGCTGAAGTTCACATACAATCCATAGTGCCATTGTTTTTACAAACAATATATTCATCCCAATTTTTTCTTTCCTGTCTTTTCTTATATCCTTAGTCACATAGCTTTTATTCCTTCATTCTATAAAATGTATTCAATATTTAAAGTATCATTAGAATGCAAACTGTATAAGTGAGGAACTTATTATGTCTGTCTGGTTCACTTCTGTATATCCAGCACCTAAAACCGTGCCTAGCTTATTGTAAATGTTCATTTTATATTTGTTGAATGAATAAAGATATTATCTCACCTCGTTCACTTGACCACTGTTTCTCAAATTAAAGCTCTTGGGATCTCCAGAATGTGCAGCACCCTCCTAATGTCAAAGACAACAACCAGCTCCTGTCTGCCATGGTACCAATGTTAATTTCTATGAGCAATTATAAAGACAGAACACATCTTAGGGGAATTAGAAACTGGGAAACAATTTCAAAGGTGATATTTTTATTACTACTTTAATGAGTGTTTCCCATACTAAAGCCTGCAGGCATATTCTTGCAGTTTGGAAATTCTCATGATGAAGAACCACTTTGCAATCATAATGACTTGCAACTGGTACCTACCTGACCCTTGCAGAAATATCAGTTCACATTTGTCTTGCATTTAACCTTGAAGTTTCATATAATGCAAGCAAACTGTGAAAGGTTAAAGGGGCTGTGTGTGATTGACAAAGGCATCTTATTCCTTTCCCTTGGTTTTTCTTTCAAGCTGACCTGAGTAATATTTTTGGTTTATTTGTTTCCTAAGAATGCTCCTCCTCTGCCTCGTTCACTCAGATAAAGGAACTGTAATGTCCCAAACCACCTTCAACTTCTTTTACCAATTTTGAGGCTACAGATTTAAATAAACATATAAATGACAAACTTTGCCATTTATTCAGTTAACAGTTATTTATCAAAAACTTCTAAGTTTGGGGACTTTCCTGGAGGCTGTGTATAGAAGAGAGAAAAAAAAAACCAGACTCAAATCGATGCTCTTACAAGACTTAAGTTGTAGGGTCACACACAGGCCTTTAATATTAGCCATATAGGTGAAGAGGGAATGCTAACTTAATGGGTGAAATAATCTGTGGAATTAAAGTGTTGATATCTTTTCTAGGCAAACCCATTTTTTTTTTTTTTTTGCAAATTCAAAGCATATTTTTTTCACTACCATGAAACTGCTTATCTTGTTGATTTTCTACTTCTGAGAGTTTCTGTGACATTTATAAAGAAGTTAGTAGAATTTAAAACTGAAAAAAGATGACTCACAAACTTTGTTTTTCAATTATAAATTTGGAAAAATATACTTCATATTCAGTGAATCCCATGCTTTTAAATTAAATCCTGAGGGGACAGTTTTAAGGACAGGAAACTTTAATAGTGAATATATAGTGGATTTAGTTTGCCAATAAGCAAAAATTTTCTGTCTAGTGTAGCTCTTAAGATGTATTAGGAATTCATATTGATTTGCTCCCATGAATGAGCCAAAGGAAATGCAAGATTTGTGTAGAGTACATTACAGCATATTCCTGAAATTGTCAATTATATGTATTAAATGAACGAAGAACACGTATTTCCTGTTCTTTTTTTACCCTGTCTTCTTCTTGATGAGGCAAAATTATTACACATCAAATGGAGTCTGGTTGACTAAGAGATATTTAGTATTTATAACCAAGAGTGTAATATGTATAATTGATACATTAAACATTTGCCTACAGAATATACTATACTGTTGTTTTTAGTTATCTCTAAACTTTAACCTTCATTATGACGATATTTCCTTAGTATTTAGTATATAATATTAGGTTTCATTCAAGTTTACCTATATGAAATGCTTTATAGACTCCAGTATATATGAAAATATTTGATTATTGAATCGTCACATTTCTTTTGCTGTTATAATGGAAATCACAGGCATATTATATTTGTCTTATTATCATTTAATATGAAAATTACAAGGTTTATAATTCAAATTAATAGTCTGTTGATATAGGAATTTAATCATCTTTTAGGGACTATGAATATTTTCATCTTAAGAAGAAATAGTTGATTATTAAGTACTATTTTGGATTCTTATTTTCAATGTTCTATTAAATTTAGGATACAGATACTCTAAGCATGATATCAAAATGATATAAATATAACATATGTATATGTGTATATGTATGTGTGCATGTGTGTTTTTCACTGAACCCATCTACCCATTTAAGGGGAGGTTTTTCAGCAGTTCCTATGGTTAATTCTTATATTGGGCTTTCTTACATAAGGTATAAGAGGAACTTCCCTCAACAAGTTTTCTCCTAAAATAAAGTTTCCCTTGAATCTAGTGGCCACTTTTAAATTTTTTTCAAGTCAGTTTGGTATGTCCACATTTTATTATGAAAGCCAGAAAAATGGATAGAGATTATTCAAAAGCTTTCTCTTTAATAGAACTTAACTTATATATCACTGTGTCATTTTGTTGTTTGGGAATTTCTAGTAACTATCCATTATTTAGACTTGATTAAACCACTTAAATAGTGTGTGTTTGAGCAAAGTGCAAGTCTTATGTATGTGAAAGTAATTTTATTTTTTAAAAGCTAAATATATCTTTTATTTGAAAGATCTTGATATAAACATATAATAATATATAAATATCAATAAAATTATAGTTTTGATTGTGCTTTATTCAATTTCATAACTAGTACATTATCTATTTTCTACTACTGCTTTAAAATGTATTCAGCAGAAAGGGTTTTTATTCATAGTCAAAACAACAATGAAATATGTGTTCCTGCTTGGCTGAAAGGGAATGTTATTTTTAATTGTCTCAAAAGTATCACTATAATGGTGATATGCAGTCTACATATAAATTATTATATGGATCAACAAGTTTAATAATCTCACAAGGTCTACTAAATGATCACTATCAGTGATTATTCAAAATTACAGTTCATTTTATGCTAATTATAAAATTGTACCTGATTTTCCAATAATAGCTATGACTCATAAAACACTTCTAATTAATACCTGTGAATGTGGGTGCAATTAAATATTAATGAGATTTAACTTTTAGAATAATGCACCACCAATCCATTCATCTCCAAAAATGCCAGTAGATTAAAATTGGATTATTCTAATTAGGAAGCTGAAATTAATAACTTTAGAGTTTTTTGAATAAACCAAACACAGTGCGATGATGAGTTGTTATTTTTATAATGAATTCTTAATATTCAAATCTTCATTAAAACACTTTTAAGATTGGATACAAGGAGAAAACAAAACAAGGCTATTCTTTAGGCAAAAGTTTATGCACGAATTTGTGATTGGGTCTCATTGCCTGGGCTTGACTGGACCAATTCTGTTTTGATTTTCTTCAAATTCTTATTATTTGCCTGTAAATGATAATATTTACCCAAGTAATTATAATTTTGGTTTTGAATGGAAAATATACTGTTAGAGAGTTGAGAGATAAACAGCATTAATAAGATCACTAATACAGCATTATCGTTAATACATAGAACAGTACATATATAGTATAGCACAATTATTTTTTAATACTTCATTAATAAATATATACAGTGGTTACAAAGTGAATTATTGCAGAGGCTTTAAGTACAACTGAGATTTAAATCTATGACATTTCTCATTTTATTTTTTATTGCAACAAGTGTAAATAATTTGAAAACACCAAGTTATATCTATTATTTGTTTAATGAAAATAAATCAGATATCTGTTAAATGTTTTCCATGTTTTTATTGAAACATGTCTTATTTACATACATACTTTAGTTGTAAGAATGTAGGCACTGTGTTGTGACAGAACCAAATAGAAATTCTCAAAGGGTATAATTTTGTTTGTTTTATTTAAGTACCTATGCCATGGATATGGTAGATTTTCAAAAACTATTTTGAACTGATAAACTTGAATTTTGGCCCCAATTATTTCCACCTTTACAGTTTTGGGCTACTTAATTCCTCAACCTCAGTCTTCTCGTTTGTAAAATGAAGGCTCCAATACTACCCACGTCATGGAGTTAGACTGTAATCCTGAAACTAGGCCTGTGAAGGGCCTAGCATAGTGCTAGTGCACCACAAGTATTGCATAAATGGTAACTGTTATTATTTTATGTTAATGCCTTGAATTAGACTCTCTGGCATTTGGCCATATATTAAATCTCTAGTGTTTATAATGAACGCTAGAGTCCAAGTTAACTCATTCTCTCAACCTGAGAGAAGTGAAACTCATGAACTTCACTAGACTTTTTGCAAAAATAGTCACTTTATCAAAGAAGTGGAGTACTCCAGGGGTGAAGGCTATAGAAATACTTAAATTGTTCTTTCAGTGTTTAGAGTAGTTCACAACCTTGTGTTCTTGGTCCTTTTTAAAGTGTGGACATGGATTCTCATACTTTTTTGACTTAAGGCTTGGGCTTTCAGAGTTCAAAGAGTTGAGAATGAAGAAATAAGAGGTGTGCAATAAAGGAAAATGTCACATTTGCTGCAAATATGAAATGGAAATTACATACAGTCTCTATATTATATGTAGTTTGTGTGAGAAATATCTATTAAAGCTTATTCAAAGAGACAATGAACAAGACCCAAATGTTTTAACATCAAATGTGTTAACGCAAGAATGTTAGCACGTTTTGAAAGATAGCTTGATTTTTTAAAATTTGGGCTACAACTTAAAGGACTCGTGTTATTTTCAAGTGTAATTAAATGGGATGAGCTTTTGCTTGTTGTCCCTGAATGTTAGCTCAGACCCCAAACTGAGGACAGTGGATATTCAGGACCTGCATTTTCTAAGAGCTTCTGGGAAGCAGGGTGGAGTACAGCCCCTGCAGGCTCATGGACAGGAGCCAAGACCCTCCACCACCACCTCCTCTCTAAATCAAAATAATCCGAGAAATGGAGCAAATAGCATTTTAGTGAATGTCATATGCTGGAAGAAAAGCTATATCCCCTTTTCAAAACTGGAAAGGGATACCCTGTGAGAAAGATTTACAAAGATTTGCAAGAATGGTCAGAGGAGGGAGACCGGAACTGTATTTCCTTCATTTGATACCTGCTTGGTCAGTAAAGGGCTGACAAAAGGGTAGCAGCATTGCAGTAACCTGTACACTCACTGTTTGTGAGATGAAGATGTCTGTATCTCTCATTGATACATTGGACATCTCAGAAAGTTGCTGGGCATGAGTTCATTGTGCTAGTACATAAGAGGTCTGCCCACTGGATGAGGGTACCCTGGTAGTGTGAGTTACTGGCTGAGAAGGTGCAAAAGTGGTTGAGTGGAAATTCAGTCTTCCACTGGAGGGAAATGAGCAGTGCATTTCAGAACACCATCATTTGGACACCAGACAGTGGGTTCTCCTGCCAACCGTTGCAGGCTGTAAGCCAGCCACAACTAACTAGTGGAGCACAGCAGCTCACCAAGTCCAGGAAGGGAAGGTTTGCCTTTTTCTCCTCTTCTTCACCCAAGGGCTAAGAAGAGGCTGGGCCTAGAAGAAAGGGGAAAAGCAGGTCTTCAAACCATATACCAACCTAGGCTTGTGTCCCTCCTACTCTACATGGAAACAACAAAGGCCCTAACTTGTGGTACTGAATAGCAGGGAAGAGATTTGAAATGGCCAAAAAGCTGTAAACTTTGGGCCAAGATATTAAGAGAACTTTCCCAAATGATAGCTGATTCAGAATAGTATGGATTAGAACAATTATTAGAAGAACTAAAGCCGATCATATTTTGTTTCTTGAGTTTAGACTCTTCAATGATCAGAATGCTTTTGTGGAGGCAACTGCTATGCTTGAAAGAACATAGATGGCCTTTGAAGTATAATATTTGATTCAAAGTCAAGTTCCGTCACATAGTAGCTACGGAATCATAAGCAAATTATCTAACATCTGCAACCTTCTGTTTCCTTATTGGTAAGAGTAGATTAATAATACCAAATTCCTTTAAGAAGATTAAGGGGAAGATATATAAATATATATTTCTTAATTGTATATATTAAGTTACTATAATAAGGCATAACATGTATCAGTAAGTATCAAAATAAAAAAATATTTTTTCCATTGTGACCACAAGGGATTATTCAAGAGGTGAGTTACAGAGGTATTCTTTTAAAAAATTCATCTTGTGACAAGGTAGGTAAATATGAAAAGTATTTCCACAGCAATTTAATAGCAGTTTCTACTTATACTCTTAGTAAATTCATACACCTGTTCTAACATGGAAAGATTTTGTATTTTAAATCAGGTAGATAAAATGTGAAGATAGTTTGGTGAATGTGTCTTACCTCTCCTGAAATCTAGCACATCGTATTGATTAATCTTGTTTATACCCCATCGGTAAGTCCCTGCTGAATTTTAGATTTTAGCATCTAACATACTTTTATGAATTTCTTCTATGTATTTTTTCTTGAAGAAGAGTGCTAGAAGAGCAGCTGTTTTTAACCTAATGTACACTTAGTATATTAATTTCAATATTATGACATGATATTAAAATGGGCAGTACTCAGATTCGGATTCACTGGGTTTGTATGTGTGTGTATATGTATGTGTGTGTGTGTGTGTGTGTGTACTGCCCATTTCTGTGTGTGTGTGTATATACACACACATTGTTTGTGTAATTCATAATAAATAAAATATATATTACATTTGCATATGTAATTAAATATATACTATATATGTTATATATAACTTTGCTTTGTTAACATTTTAACAAATGACGTTTTCAAACATTACTTCAATAGTAGAGCAAAGCTGAAAACAAAACAAAACAAAACCTTCCAGACATTGTTTCAGATTGTCAACCTGAGGGTCCATAATGTCAGCTCCTTGGGAGTTCCAGGTAATTTTTAATGTGCTGTCCCGAGGTGTGATTACTGCAGAGGATGTGGTATACTGATGCTCAGGTTTAGACAGAGGGTATGGCCATCAAGTGGGGAATGGAATTAGGCTCTCCAAAGGGATATAATGAGGAGCAATAGATTGAAATTAAGCCTGGGTAGATGCAGCTGACTAGAAAGAAAAAAATGTCCTCTGAGATCTTATTATCTTCTGACATACATTTGCATGAGACATGGTGAAAATGCCAATTGGATAATTTCAAATTGGTCTGACCACCTCGTGAATACTTTTGTTTACAACAACCTGTCCTAAAACTGGTTTTCAAAATGTCTAGTTAGGAAAAAAATTGTTGTGTGTGTGTGTGTGTGTGTGTGTGTGTGTGTGTATTTGTGTGTATGCATGTATAACTTATTGTACTGTATAAGTGTTTAATGAATTCACACATATAATTTTTGCAGTTGAAAATTTTGCAAATAAATAAGTTTTCTAGTATTTCTTTGGGAGGTGGTGGTGAACTTTTCATTTGTTTTATGAGGATATAATTCATACACAATGTGATTTACTCAATGTGTACAATTTAATGATTTTTAGTATATTCACGGAGTTGTGCAACCATCACCATAATCAAATTTGGAACCCCCTGAAAGACATCCCTTCTCTCTCCTTCTCCCAAGCCCTAGACAACTACTACTTTTTCTCCATATTCCTTTGCTAATTCTGGACATGTCATATAAATAGAATAATATAATACGTGATCTTTTGTGACTAGGCTTTTTTCATTTGTATAGTGTTTTCAAGGTTCATCCATGTTGTAACATGTATCAGTATTTCATTTATTTTAAATACTGAATAATATTCCATTGTATGAATATACTGCAATTATTTATCCATTCATCAATTCATGGATATTTGGGTTATTTCCACCTTTTGGTAATCATGAGTAATGCTATTATAAGCAATCATGTACAAGATTTTGTGTGGAAAGTGCTTAGCTGCTTGATGTCCAGTTTTCTTCCATTCTCCACATCTGTGTGACTTATACAACATAGAATTTTATAACATATATTCCGTATGTTGCACTTTGAAGGTCCTATTTCTTGGCATTCTTGAAAGAATTCAAATGAACTATAATGTATATTCAAACTTTGAAGAATACCGTGAAAATATTAGAGTTACTGCCTTCATGTAGTCTTCTGTTGATCATTAGTATTTTTTTCTCAGATGCAAGAATAAATGATCTATTAGGTTTATAGGAAAGGGAAAATATTTCAGTAATCATCCACTTTACACATTCCATCAGTTTCTACTTTTATAGCACTTACACTCATGTTCTACAGCACATATACTCATTTTCATTTTTCAGATGATAAAACTAAAATGCAAAGTTTTTCATGAGTGCTCAAGGCCACATGATATATTAGTAGCAGAATTTCCATGCAGATGAATTGTCTGATTCTTAATTTCAGTATGTCTGGGTTCTCATCAACTCTGTCACTTATTTGTGTGTGACTCTACTAAGATGCTTAACCTTTCTAAGCATAATTTTTCTTGTCTTTGTGTGGGACTGATATCCATGTATTTATAGTACTGATATTCACTTCATATATAGGATTAGTGTTTGGTGTAAATGGAATGATTCATGTTAAACTTTATAAATTTAACAAGCATAAGTGTCTAATAGAGATTAGTGGCTTTAGTAGGAATAACACCAGAAGTAATAGTAGTAGTAATAGTAATAATAACTGGAACTAAAACTCTTGTTTTATGATAACTAATCCAGATTTTTTTTGGTATGCCAGAAAACATTTATGTAATTGGCTTGCCATTTGGTTATTTTTGGCTCCTGAGTGTGTCTAATTTCTCACCCACTCTTTGGCCAAAAATAATCCAAATGCCAACATTTATTCCCATATATGAAGTCACACACATTGGTATGCACATTGAGTGGCCAAAAATAAGCACCCAACCAAATGGCAAGCCATATCCAGAAAAGTTTATACACAACACACAACTAAAATATCAATTCATATAACACTTCTCATTTTTAAGGCCCCTTCTAAAGGTTAATATTCTCACTGCACCCAGGGAGCAGCACATGAGTCAGTGGTATAATTTGTCTGAGCTCATGGAAATAAACAACTTGGAAGGCTAAAACTGACAGAGCCAATAGCTACAGTTGAATTGGAAGGTAGCATTTTGTATCTTTTAGGTCTTTTCCTCTATGTCTTACATACAAACATACACACACACACACACACACACACACACACACGGTATTTCTTATATTTTTATTTCAAATAACTTTATTTTTTGTTAATAGTGACAAAAAATTTAAAGTAAAAAATCATGGGCAGTACCATCACTCAAAACCAACCCATTTATTTCTTTCAAATTTTAACTTCACCTAGTTGTATTATCCCAGCTCTACAATTTGAGTGCTGCTTTTTACTTTATAGCCTCTGCATTTTATGTTATTGTGATCCTTATTCACTTAAGGCGAAAGACTGATTATTGGAAGTTACTATTCCATGGTGGGTTTATTTTAGGTTCATTTTAGTGATCTTTGAGTCAAAACTGTATAATGTATACATAGAAAGTTGAATATTTGAGAACAAATATTTTGTGAAATATTTACACAGTATTGGCGTTAAATTTTTCTCTCAGATTTGGATTGTATTATTTCCTAAACACTGTGGAATTCAGAATTGTTTTTCCCCAGGAAAACTCACCCAGTCACTGCTTAAGATTAAGAAAGCCTAATTTAATACGATAAAGCTGTTGAACAGTTTTCAGCTCTAAGAAAAAAATGAAGAAGAAAAGAACTATTGATTTTGTAGCTATTTCTTTGAAATGCCATTTCGAAAATATAATGCATGTAATATAACACAAATAATAGGGCATATGTCTTCTCTTTTCTTCTGCCCACAAAGCTGAGACACAGAGTTAACCTTTTTATCCTAAGAATATGGACTTGTACAACATTGTGATAGCTCTTGTGAATCAGAAGTGGAATCTTCATGATGTCTAGATAGAAATGTATGTATGATTATACCTGTGTGGAGTAGACAGCATCCAAAGAGAGCAAGGCAAGCATTAACCTGTTGTCCAAAGTAATGCCTAGAAAACTCAGTATATAAAAAAGTCAGCTAAAAATGGAATTCCAACATTTCAAATCTTTCAAATGCTTCAAACATGGACCCTTGTACAAAAATAAGGTTCAGCAATAACAGAAACACATTCAAGAATGTAAAGACCCATGTCACAAACTGTAGAGCTCATTTGACTGTTGGTTTTTCAGAGTTTGTTTCCTACACTAGGTTGTTAAGAAAAAGTTAGACCAATGTACCTTGCTGTTGTTAGCTTTGTAAAACTTGAGGAAAATAGCTATTCCTCTTTGACTTCAGGCTAAAAAGATACTGAGTTTTCAATCTTTGACCCCAAGAACTGAATTATGACTTTAATTCAGTTATCAGAAGACCTGGCAATAGGTTTGCTAGCTCTTCACCTGCAGTACGACCTTGATTCTCCAGGCTCTTCACAGTTTTGCCATTCATTATACCCTCTCAGACTTCAGGAGATCTTTTTTACCGTTTTCCAGGCTGCCCTCTCTGGGACCTTCAATTTCTTCTCCCATTGACATCTAGCCATTTTTAATTTTCTGGTCTGTGTCCCTTTCACTGTTTACTTTTTCCAGTACAATCCCAAGTTATTGAATGTTGCTATAGAGTTATTTTAAAAGTCTAAACAAAAAAAAATGTGGATCAGTTCCAAGTAAAATTCATGCATTTTCACATCTTAAGAATTTTCAAACCCTCCTCTCTCACTTGCTACCAATGATGTTGTATTTTGTTTTACTATAAATGTTGAAGCTATTTGGTCTGCCTCCCCTAATATACTTTATATTCATATATCATCTCCTCCTTAATATGTTTATTTAGCCTAGACATATGTTAATTTTGCTATAAGTGTCAGGCAGGATAACAAAGTACCAGTGGTCCCAGAAAAGAGGCTTAAGTCAATAGTTCCTTTTCTTGCCTCTCAAAACTCAAATTTATCATTACTGCTCAAGTCCATTGCCTCCTTTTTTTTTGTTTTGTTTTGTTTTTGTGAGATGGATTCTCACTCTGTTGCCCAGGCTGGAATGTAGTAGCATGATCTCAGCTCACTGCAAGCTCCACCTCCCATGTTCAAGCAATTCTCCTGCCTTAGTCTCCCGAGTAGCTGGGACTACAGGTGCCCAGCACCACACCCGGCTAATTTTTTGTATTTTTAGTAGAGACGGGGTTTCACCGTGTTAGCCAGGGTGGCCTCGATCTCCTGACCTTGTGATCCTCCTGCCTCTGCCTCCAAAAGTGGCGGGATTACAGGCGTGAGCCACCGCGCCCAGCCCCAGCTTACTTTTTTAATTCTTCCTATACACCACTCCTGTGTAACTAATCATTCCTCCTTTCGTTTGCTGTAGCCCTTTGTTTGTGGTGTCCATTATGGTAAATTAAAACAGTACAGTAGGCATAGTAGCTGCATGTGAACAAATGTGTTTCCCCCTTTAACTTGTGATGTATTCAAGCTTGGAAAGACAGAAGGCATAATGTCTTGATTAGGAGAGATACTCAGTAACAATGTATTGAATAAAAGTAGACTTGATAGTCCTAGGTATCACAGTGGGGAAAATAGAACTTAAGGAAAACTTTTAAATACAGGTAAGGAAAAGGAGAAATACAAAACCAATGGACTAAGAACAATGTGATGCTAGCTCTGTAAGTGCACTACCTTGGAAGCTAATGTTCCAGCCCTACTCAAGCCTTTGGCTGTCTATAGCCAGGGTCAGAAACTTGGTGACAATCACATGAGACCATGAGCTTGAACTGCTTAGTTAAGTACCCCTGAATTACTAACTCTTAAAAACAGTGAGGATAATGCGTGTGTATGGTTGTTTTAAGCCATTTAGTTTTGTGGTAATTTATTATTCAGCAACAGATAACCAGTACACCTTCTTTTCCTAATAAAACCAGTTCATTGAGATATGGAATATCTACTATGAACTCAGAAGATAATAAGCTATCAGAAGAGAGAATTCCATGAATAACTTTAGAACAGTACTAATGCATTACTTTCCCTCATGTTACGTAGATTTAAAGCTCCACTGGATCCTTGCCCTTGAGGGACACTTGATGTGCTATTTACAACGAGTACTCATTTAGAACATCTTCCACTGGATCCTAACCATACTATTGTCCCTATCATTCAGTTTTTAAACATTGACAACAGTAGTTTCTAGTTTAATGGATTTTGAGGTAAGGTCTTAGTGTCAAGTCTTTTTAGAACTCTATGTGTGATTCCGTCGTTCAACCAAGGTTGAAAATCACTTGAACTATTTTATTATTATTGTGTTTTTTATGCTCCTCATTAGATTGTAATTTATTGCATAGCAGTAAGCATACTTTTCACCTCTGCATAGCATTTAGTACGGTGCCTTGGATAGAGTAAGAGGCAAATAACTATTTGTTTACTGATCTGCTACACAATACATCTTGAAAACAATACTTGAAAGGATATTAAAATACTGGCCTCAGAAATTAAACAGTGGGCAACAGAAGTAAAATAAAAGAAGACCTAATGAAATAGAGACCCATGGAGAAAAAGGGAAGCTTTTCAGAAGTCGATTTATAGCTTCACTTTTTGGGCAGCACATTCTTATTTAGTATTGACTGATAAAAAGAACAAGAAAAATGAAAAAAAGAAATAGGAAGACGAGAGAAGGTTTTGCCAACCTAATACAATTTTCATAGGTTCCAGAAGGTTCTTAGGAATGACTTTAAATTTAGTGTTCTAAAGTTGCTCTTACTTTTGAAAACCATAACTCAGTGCACTAAAATTTCATTTCATTCATTGTATCTGGGTTATATTTACTTCTTGCAGAAACAGTCTAGAGGAAACCAAATGATTTTATTCCAGATTGCTACAAAGTCTTTGATATATTGGATGTTTTGGCATGAATGTTAGCTAGAGAGTTTTAGAAGGGTTACACCAATGAGAGCCTGTTTAGTTCTCTCCATTTACACTCAGTGAGCTGTGTGTCGCTATCTGCAGCCTTGTCATAATTCTTGCCAAAACATCGATTATTTTATGTTATTGTTAAAAAAATTTCCAACTCACAATTATGTTTTTATTCTTCTCTGTTTTAGGTCAAGACTAGTATCTCTGATAAAATATTAATGTCTTAGAAGACTGTATTTCATAGTAGAAACAGTAATGAGGCCAATTAATTATGACTCCAGACAGTAGATAAAACAGTGAAAGCAGCAGAGATGATACTAAGTTTGCAGGTAGTTATTACAGCTAAGATTAAGAGTTCATCTAGATTCTCAAGAAATAAGTCTAGTAGGCAGCAAATGCTATGATATACATTTATGGGTGGGTATGTAATACATAAAGCTTCAAGTAGGTTTTGTTTACTGGTGTATATTTCCATTGCTGAATCAAAATATTTATAATAGGTAATGAGTAGATTGTACATTCATAAACTATAAAGTAATAAAAATGAAAAATAAAGGAATTATTAGCTGCATCCAGCAGCATAGTAACTGTTCCTTAATAGGTTACTCTGTCATCTAATCTCTCATTGCAGACATTGTGAATCATAATAGAAGGCTGCAAGGATGTTAGGAAAATTTGTCCAGAAATAGTAATAAAATTGTAGTGTTCTATATATCTGATTTTCTAGGATGAATTTTCCACTTTTGTTTTATGAAATTGTCCAAAAAGAATAAATTGTATTTCATGCAGCCTTGCAGGGAGCAATGTGTCTTTTTAAGAAAAGAGGAGTGGACCATTTTGTATCATTCAGTTAGTTAATCTGCTTGTTCCTACACCCCAAAATGATGCCAAACATTATAAAAATGTGATTGCATGCTCCCTTACCACTCTTGGAAACAATTCACTGACAAATCCTTCATTAAAATAGCATTAAGAGTTTGGTTTCCACCAGAAAACTTAAATAGAGACACTAATATACTCATTACTGACTTATTAATGTCAGTGTGCATGTGTGTGTGTGTGTGTGTGTGTGTGTGTGTATAAGAAAGAGAGAATGAGTAAGAGAGAGAGCGATTACTTTGGCATACATGCACTTTCTTCTTATATTTGTTTTAGTTTCTTGTGTAAACCATAATCCTTTTACATTCTTAAAAGCAAATTATATTTTGGTGGGGTGGGGTTGGGAGTTCCAAAAACAGTATATTTCTCTGGGAGTTAACTAAACAGAAGCAAACCTGGTTTCAAAATATGATTTCTAAAATACTATTTTTTTAAAAAATCTTTGCAGGAATCCTTGACCTGCAGTCATTATAATGAAATCTGGAGCCAATGATGGATATATGAACCTTTGGATTCAATCTTTCCAAACATATTTCTGACTAGAAGGAATTTGGTTTTATTTTCATCCAGCTAACGTGAAATAAAATTGTCCTTTCAAAATATTTCTGCGAAAATTGGTGCATCCAGATGACAGGTGCTAATTGAAAAGTATATGAACCATTTGCAAAGTAGCACAGAGAGGACTGATTGTTTCACTTGATCAGGTCCTCAGCTCTGGGCACTCTTGGCTTTTTGTTCTGATAATGCATCTGCCACCATGCTATCCTTGGGCAGCTACTGGGGAGTGTCAGCCATGCCATACACCTTTGTAGCTCTGGGGACAAAATTAGGCCTTTCCTCTTTGGAGATATACCTGTGCTCCAAAAGTTCATTAATATAAATACTGACAACAGTCACTCACCCAAGGGGGTTCTTCAGAAGAAATTTGCAGAGTACAAGAAACCATGCAATATTCAAGACCTAGGGCCTCACATGAAGCAAATATTTTAGCCTGATCCATACTAAGGGATAATCTAGAATGGGGTTTTAGGATCCCTGCACTTTAATGACATCTTGAATAATAAAGGACTGCTTCTTTGGTGTCTTCGGTTGTCACATCGATGGTTCTGCTTGAAGCTGGAAAGCAAAACAAACACTTAAAAAACAATTTGTATTGTATTTTAAAAATCATTGAGTTGCCTTTAGAAACCATAGCTACTTTTAAGGAACTATATTTCTTCAGTTACATTATGGGCATTCGAGAGGTTGGGGAAAAATCAGAAGGTATAATTTATCATGGGAAAATACGAAGGAAGTGTGGGAAGTTGTGTGATGTAATAGGGATGGTGCTAGAGTGAAATATTAGAGCAGTCTTATTCTCCTACATGGGATCATGGCTAGCTGTGTTATCTCAAACAATCCACTTTTCCCCTGGTGCCTCACTCATCCTATGAAATGAGTGAACTATTAAATGATCCTATTTAATTATCTAAATGTTTTTTTCTTTTCCTAACAATCTAAGTTTGCATGCAAGTGAGTGTGCCAACTGCTAGATTCTTTATTCTTTCAAGGCTTTATAAAATCCCCAGGAAAGATAAAGCTCAGCATTAAATTGCTATTTGGTGATAGCAATGCCCCACAGATGATCTGAAGGGTTGGAGGTTTGATTATGTTCATAAAGATGCAGATGGATAATGGCATAGGGAAGGTAGTCAATTAAACATAGAATAAGGAGGGAGTTGTCTTGAGACTTAGAGTGCAGCTGGTTAAACTGAAAAGACAAGAGATTTGACTTTACAACCAACTGGAATTTCTTTTTCTGTTGAAGGAAAAGAGTGGCAAATACATGTGGAAGTATTAACTTTGTGACTTGACTTGCAATAAGGCCTTTAAAAAATATGTTCATTCTCTTATGTTGTAGTCCACTAGTTAATGAGGGTTTTGGTAGGTGTCAAGTAGCTGTGATATTAGCATGTCTCTTTATTTATTGATGAAAATCTCAGAGGAGAATTGTGTCTGGAATAAAGAAATAGCTAAATTGATATCTGTACTGAATGGGAGAACATATGCAAAAGGAAAAAATACTTACAGAAGAGAATTAAGATACTGCTTATCACTGGCCTCATCTCTAGAAGGAAGTTATCAAGGATAAAAATATGAAATTTGAAGATTAATAAAAAATAAAACTTTTTAAAGCAAAACATCACAAAATATAATAGTGTAAAAGGGGAAAGATGCGTTACTTCAATCTCTGTAACGTAGACATCAAAAACGTCATTACATTTCAAGTGAATGAAAAGGTGATTCGGATTCATCAACATTTCGAGCAGAAAGTTGCTTCAGAGACTAATCCAAAGTCTTCATTTTAGGAAAAGGAAACTAAGTTCCTAAAACTACCAAATTTAAATGTTCATGATCAATTGATATGCTAATGGCATGTAAGAATGGTTCTTAGACTCTCAGGTTCCCCGTAAAGTGTCCCACTGTGCTTTTGACCTCTTTCCCAGGTGACAAAATAAGAGAGAATGGTACTTGAACTGTTATGCATCTAAAAAAAAACAAAGATTTGGCAGCTGAACTCAAGTATAGTTTCCTTTGAAATCACCGTCATCAAAAAGTGGACTATAATTTTCTGAAAAAAAGTTTGCTAGGAGACTCTGTCCATATTATCCCAACATTTGATATATTTTTAAACTTTTATTTTAGGTTTGGGGGTACATGTGAAGATTTGTTACATAGGTAAGCTCAAGCCATGGGGGTTTCTTGGACAGATCATTTAATCACCAAGCTGTTAAGCCCAGTACCCGACAGTTGTCTTTTTTCTCCACTCCTTCCTCCCACCCTCCACCCTCAAATAGATCTCAGTGTCTGTTGTTTCCTTCTTTGTGTTCGTAAGTTCTCATCATTTAGCTCCCACTAATAAGTGAGAACATGCAGTATTTGGTTTTCTGTTCCTGCATTAGTTTGCTGAGAAAAATGGCCTCTAGCTCCATCCATATTCCTGCAAAAGACATGATCTCATTTGTTTTTATGGCTGCAAAACATTTTAAAATAGAAATATGGGATAATAAATGGCAATATTAAACAAATCTTTTTAGTTGAAGGAATATAGATATATGTTATCTATGGGACATGTTGATAAATATATAACTGTATATCTGCCTGTTTTATACTGTGTCATATTGCCTCACTTCTACACTGATTGCATTGATATTAAATGTATTTGTGTTCCTTAATGATAAGGATGGTGCATGGTAGAAAGAAAACATGGGAAATCATTTCGTGTGGAAAGTCACAAACATGACTAGCACATTAGATAATCAAAACATAAATAAAATTTGATGAGGTACAAACATGTTCTTTGCCATACAATTTTTGATGGTGTTTAGGAAACTTTTCTGGAATTCTAATAAGTAACAGTGTTTTTGTATGATAGAACAAGGGCATCTAAAAGGCATTTCTCAGCTATAGAAATTAGAACCCCATGAGTGACTTCAGGGAGTGAATCTACCCTACACAGATTAGTAAGAGAGTATATCTAAGAACATGCACTTATAAGTGGGAGCTGAACAATGACAGCAGATGGACATAGGGAGTGGAACAACACACCCTGAGACCTGTGGGGGTGGTCAGGGGTAGGGAGACCATCAGGAAAAATAGTTTATGCATGTTGGGCCTAATACCTAGTTGATAGGTTGATAGGTGCAGCAAATCACCATGGCACACGTTTACATATGTAACAAACCTGCACATCCTGTGCATGTACCCCAGAACTTAAAATAAAATTAAAAAATAAAAAATAAAACAAACCAAAAAAGAAAGGCCATCCAAGGAATTAAGTACAGACAATATTACTATTATTATATTCTACCTTTACATTTCTTTCTTCTCACTCTACAATCAGAATAAGAAACTATGATAATATTATATTTTAAAATCATTAATATTATTAATAGTCCTAAAAGTAAGAGCAAGTTAGATCATTGCATATAATCACATTATCAGGTAGTATTTGTGTGTTTCCTCAAAAAACAGTTGCCCAGGCATAGTTATTGCCAGTTTCTCAGTCTATACAAAAAGATAAGATGCAATTATGGAAATGCCTGTCTTGGGAAGAGGGAGGAGAGTGACAATCAAAAGCAATGCCAGTGGAGAAGGCTGTCTTTGTAAGATTATTTTTTCCCATGATGAATAGACTTGTAAATATTTTAAAGAGATTATTGCTTCTCATTATCTAAGCAAAGCACTGTTATTGATAGGAAAAGAAAAAAGTGTTATAATAAATATGCACAACAACAGCCTATTAGCCTATAAAATGGCAATCACTGTTAAAATTTAGCACAAAATGCAGAATTACTACTGAAGCACTATAGTTTGTGAGATCATGAGTAAAGATCATGCATGAAGCAACAAGGAGACAAGAAGCAGCTGGATCACACACAATCATTTAAACATGATGCTGTGGACATGAAGAATTGATCTTTGAAGTGATCGCTGATGAGGTTCGCTTGGACCCAAGCAGCTTCTCCAGCGGAATGTATATGGTTCAAATCTTGCATTCTCTGCATATTTATAGAATACAGAATAAGAATGATTTTAATTATTCATGGACCAGAAAAGAACTGCTGACCAATCTTCAGTCCAGGATATATCTGAGGTTTTAACTGCTCAAGTGTAAAAGACTACCACAGATTATCCAGTTGCTCTGTCAATGGGCACAGAAAATCGATCTGTGTAAATCTTTCATCTACAGGGCCGTATTAATTTTGTTCTGTCTAAAGATGGCCTCAAATTTATTACAGGGTGAAGTTTTATACCTTTCACTCTGTCAGTTAAAGTTGTTTTTAGGAAGTATAAAAATACTTAACGTTATCTGTTGTTGTTCTTTAATTTGAACAAAGAGGAGAGAAAAATGACAGATCACTCAAAGAAATCTCTTTAAATTAGACCAGTTCATGCATGTTCCTTCAGACAGTCATCATTAAGTGAATCTCTAATTCATCTTAGATTCTTGTAAAAATATCTTAGAAAAGTCCATTCTCATAAAAATTATGTTTAAATTTCCAGAGGAATTAAATAAAACCCAGAGAGTTTAAGTAACTTATCCAGCATCATAGAGCAAAGATGACACTGGAATTCAAGTCTTGAGACTTCCAAACATTATCTTTCAAAGGGAACTGTCACATCTTTAGAATGCTAGTCCATGTATGAATTGTAACAGCTAATACGTTTTGAAGTTGGGGAATCGGGGGGGTAAAGAACTTTAAAGTTTTTGAACTTTTAATATAATTCAAAGCAAATTGGCAGTCCACGTTGGCATAAAAATAGCTAGAATTTATGAATTTGTATTCTTGGATTTGTAAATAATATTTAGCCCTTAGGGTCAGTTCATAATATAGTAAAGCATTAAGAGAATGCTCATATAAATAGCCAGAATCTTCTGTTTAGCTGTTGGAAAACTAGTCAACTGCTGCAGCTCTCAAGCTAAACTGTTGATGATTAGTATAGGCACGGGTAAGATTGAATATGAAGGAAGCATTGGGGACACAAAATTCAAGTGAATATTAGTCACAAAGTAGTCCATATTCAGATAAATTTCTGTAATAACCATTTTACCATTATGTAATCAGAACCAGACCACCTGGGTCTGAGTTGTAGTTCCCCTATCTGATGACCAAAGGGTAAGCCAGTAAATTGGTGGGCAAGTCACTTAACTCATAGGGTTGTAGTTAAGACAAAAGGAGTTAAATTACATAACAGATAGATGGTAATTGATGGTAATTACTACTACACAAGCATTAGCTGTTACTGTAAGGAGTAATAGTAGTGTAATAGTCATTATCAACAGTGTAGGATTCACGTTTGTTTTCTGTAAGTAGTTCATACAACCACTTTCAAATTGCTCAACTTTTTTTTTTCCAAATTAAAAGACAGTATGTCCTTGAGATAGTTTTGTGACCACAGAATGGTAATGGATATAAAATATTAAAAGAATATAATTATGCCAATAATTGACCCCATTTTTCTATGAGTATCTTATTAATTGAGAAATTTTATAATGGGTATCTTTGAAGTACTAATCCTGATGCTTAATATATGAAAGGTAGTTTTTAATTCAAAAGAAAATTAGATATTAGTGGCACAATAAAGCTTTACTCAGGGCAATTTAACAATTTGTATATGCTGCCAGTAGTGACAGGAGAGAGAGCAGAAGAGAAGCCCTGCCAGAAGTCTACCCAAGGTTATACATAATATCAATCACTAATATGCCACAGTTTATAAATATCACTGAAAGTTGTTGTAAAATAAGAAGCAGGAATAAATTATAAATGCCTAAATGATAACACAGCAGCTTTGTTTGGTAAAAAGTAAAGGAAAAAGAAATCATAAGATGTGAGTGGGACAATACCAGAACACTCGTAGGCTCTAAATATATTTAACAGCTGAATTTGATACATTTAGAGAAACTATGATATTGAAGCCTTTATTTTTGTAGTTTTAATTTTGAAGTAATTTCTTTAATCAGTGCTATGTGACTGCTGCTTTTATTGATGATGAGGATATGGAAGGATCATCAAAAATGGAATTATTTTTATGAAAATAATTAAAGTGAACTTGTTAACTAATTAGGTACAGCTGAATAAGTAAAGGAATGCAATACTATTGTGCAAGAATATTGACCCTGTAGTAAAAGGAAAATATTGTTCTTACATGAGAACAGTAATCTTGTCAGATTGAGTTCAAGACTATTTTAAAGGGTTTAAAGAGTAATATACACAACAGTAGCCCAGAATGCCCCTTTAAAAATATGTATTTTACTACACAATTATTACGTATTCTTCCTGTGGGGCGGGTGGCTCACGCCTGTAATCCCAGCACCTCTAATCCCAGCCTGCCGATGGGAGCGGATGACTTGAGGCCAAGATTTTGAGACCAGTCTGGCCAACATGGCGAAACCTTGTCTCTACTAAAAAATACAAAAAAATTAGCCGGGAGTGGTGGTGCATGTCTGTAATCCCAGCTACTCAGGAGGCTGAGGCACAAGAATCATTTGAACCTGGGAGGAGGAGGTTGCAGTGAGCAGAGATTGCACCACTACACTCTAGCCTGGGTGACAGGGCAGGACTCTGTCCCCCACCGCCCCCCCCAAAAAAAAGTATATATTCTTCCGATTTGTATGCCTGTGTGGATATATAGGTATCATTTTACAAAAATATAATTATATTATGTAAACTATTTTGTAACCTGCTATGCAAATTACTAACATCTAAGGAATATATCCCCATGTCATTAAATTGTATATCTTTATCATCATTATAAATTGCTACATAGTATTTTATTGAATGGATGTTCACTAATTTGTTTAATCCAACTATTTTCAGGACGTATCTGGAAGACAAGTATTGTAATTACAGCAAAGTTACATTATAGTCTCTAATCAATATTTTAAAAGATGCATTTCATGCTTTAAAGAAAATGATACTATAATAATCAACTATGAAAAATACTATTTTCTCTAACAGATTTCTTATTACACTGAATAATCTAACCTCATCTCATTTGTAAATGAATTAAATTAAATACTGAAATTGAATAAATTATTTATAAGACCTTCTGGGATACAGGCACAATTCTTCCAGCTACAAACTGAGCTACTCAATAGGATATATAATATTTTTAGAACTTAGAAGCTGCATTCTATTTTAGATAAAATCCTCTTTTTAGGACTTAAAAAAAAACTTTATGAAAGTATGCCCTCTTACTCCAAACATTTTTATATAGCATATGAACAATTGGTTCTTTATAATTTAGATATGTCTTCCTAGCCAATATTTTCAGTTTTAGAAGCTGTATGTTTGAAGAAACACAAACAAAAATTTGTTTCCAGAGTTAATAACACTGTATTAAGTTAATACATGTATTAAAATGTGTTATGCACAGTGTATAACATATTACATGGTATGCCATGGAATACTATGCAACAATAAAAAGGAATAAACTATTGATACACACAACAACTTAGATGGATCTCAGGGGAACTATGCTGAATGAAAAAGTCCAACAGAAGAAGTTACATAAATATGATTCCAGTTAGAAGACATTCTTGAAATGGCAAAATTATAGAGATGGAGAATAGATTATTGATTTGACAAGTCTCAAGGATGGAGTGGGGAGAGGGGTTGTGTAAGCCAAAGAGAGGTAGCAAGAGGGATCCTTATGATGATGGAATCAGTTCTGTATTTTAACTGTGGTGGTGGCCACATATATCTACACATATGATAAAACTACCTATAACTATACAAACACACAAATGAGTACATATAAAACCAGTGAAGTCGGAATAATCTCTAGACCAAAGTCAATTTCCTAATTTAGATATTGTACTATAGCTAGACAGGATATTATCATTGTAAGAAATTGCCGGTCATGGTGGCTCACACCTGTGTTCCCAAAACTTTGGGAGGCTGAGGCAGGTGGATCATTTGAGGTCAGGAGTTAGAGATCAGCCTGGCCAACATAGTGAAACCCCGTCTCTACTAAAAAAAAAAAAAACAAAAAACAATTAGCTGAGCATGATGGCATGTGCCTGTAATCCCAGCTACCTAGGAGGCTGAGGTAGGAGAAAAGCTTGAACCTGGGAGGCGGAGGTTATAGTGAGCTGAGATCACGCCAGTGCACTCCAGCCTGGGCCACAGAGTGAGACTCCGTCTCAAAGAAAGAAACTGAGTGAAGGACACACAAGAATTTCTGGTACATTTTCACAACTTTCTGTGATTCTGTATTTCAAAATAAAAGGTTTGTAAATAAAAGAATTGTGTTAACACTTTAAAATGTTAGGAGGTGTAGGCCGGGTGTGGTGGCTCATGCCTGTAATCCCAGCACTTTGTGAGGCCAAGGCAGGTGGATCACCTGCAGTCGGGAGTTTGAGACCAGCCTGACCAACATGGAAAAAACCCCGTCTCTACTAAAAATACAAAATTAGCCGGCCATGGTGGCGCATGCCTGTAATCCCAGCTACTCAGAAGGCTGAGGCAGGAGAATCGCTTGAACTTGGGAGGTGGAGGTTGCCATGAGCCAAGATCACGCCATTGCACTCCAGCCTAGGCAACAAGAGTGAAACTCTGTCTCAAAAAAAAAAAAAAAAGAAAAAAAAAGTTAGAAGGTGTGATAATGGGGCTTGGAGACTTTCATAGAAGAGAGGCTAAATCAACAGAAAATGGCAATGTTTTGTTTTTATTTTAAAGATCATTAAGCTATCAAATAAAGCCTTAGTTAATACTAGAAACTAAATAACTTTTTTATGATGATTGCCTATATGCTTGAGATGTAAAAATGTCCCATATATTTCAGACAAAATTCTCTTTGAAGTTAGAACACACCCAAGAATAAACTTTTATGCATCCCT